>NC_000010.11:48476428-48627943 GCF_000001405.40 Homo sapiens | reverse complement strand
AAAGTATAGATAGTACCTTTCTACAAATCACAAAGATGCCCCTTCCTCTGGGCTAAGCCAGCCTCACACCAGACCCCATAGCTTGTCCAATAGAGCACCTGGTGGCCTGAATGAAGTGCCCACACACCTCAGCCAGCCACACCAGAGGCCGGGCCCAAAGTGACCCTCATCCAGGGGCCCTGAGAATGCATGCCTCACATTATCAGTTGGGATCTTTCATAAAGCCCTTGGAATATCAGAGGAGACTGAAATTCGAAACTAAAACTTGACCAGAAGAGCAAGATGCTGTGGGCATGAGCCAAGCTTCCCAGTGGCCTGCCCTGTGCAGCCCTGTGTCCCCACTCAGTGTGGAGCGCCGGCTCTCTCCCAAACCCTGTCCTGGCTGCTAGCCCAGATGGGAATGGGACAGGCCCTGCCCACCATGCCTTGAACCTAGAGTGAGTACAGACATCCTTGGACACCTGTCTTGCCCTCTCTGATTCTCCAATACCAGCTGGGTGTCCAACAGTTCAATTCAATTCAATTCATTTCAATTCTGACATTAGCTCTCCAGAGCTAGTGCAGACCACACTGGTTAGGGCTCCGTCCCACAAGACCTCCCCGACTTCAGATGAAAATGGGTGCCCAGGCCATCCACACTCCGTCCTACTTGGCTATGCATTAATAGATTCCTGCAACCCCTCCTCAGGTTTGATAATTCACTAGAATGACTCACAAAACTCAGGAAAACACTACTGACATTTGCAGGTTAATGACAAAGAACACAACTCAGGACAGCCTGCTGCAGGAAATGCGTAGGGCCAGGGAAGAGGGAGGGGCATGGAGCTTCCATGCACTCTTCATGCACAACCCGCTCCCAGAACCTCCATGTGTTCACCAACCCGGAAGCTCCCTGAACCCCATCATTTAGGGGTTTTTATGGAGGCTTCGTTACGTGGGCATGATTAATCAAATCATTGGTCATTGGTGATTGGACTCAATCTCCAGTTCCTCTCTCCTTCCTGGAGGTCAAGGATAGGGCTGAAACTTGTAACCCTCTAATCACATGGCTGGTTCACCCCCATGCCCAGCCAGTTCCCACTCTCCCACAGTCACCTCCTTAACCTTGCCTCAGGTGCCTTTGAAAGGGGCTTTCTCTGAATAACCAAAAATGCTCCCCTCACTTCTGTTACTCAGGAAATTCCCAGGGTTTTAGGAGCTCATGCCTGGTACAAATATCAAATATCTAGTTCCCATCGTACCACACCCTCCACATGAGTGTCCTGGGGACAGGCGGCTCTGTCTCCTGCGAGGGCACATTCCACAGGGCTGGATATTGGGCTTCATGCAGAGTTTGTTATTAGCAAATGCACATGGAGGGAAAGGGTTGAATATCTGCCAGGATATTCAGGAAGTTCCGAATGTGCCATGGGTCTGGAACAGTGGCCAGAGCTTCAATTCTGAAGGCAAATGCTTAACAAATATCAATGTAGCACCTCCTAGCAGCCACCATTAACAGCTTACTGGATTTCAGCACCATCTAGAAGCTCCATCTGTTTTTCACAAGTTTTCACAAAGACACTGAGGGGTAGATGTCCTTGGTCCTGATGAGGTCCCCAAGATTAAGACCCTGGGGACATCAGAATTCACAATTCACACTCAGCATGTTTCTTGACAACACCTCTCCAGTTTCCATGCCGGGCTCCTGGTCTGGAATCAGGACAAGAAAAAGACAAAATCAAGAAAGCCCCCTGGGTGAGTCTCTCTTATAATTGGCTCTGATTTAGGGGTGGGATAGGGTTAGTGTAAGAAACCAGCATAATATCAAGGCTTCAAATAGTATGCTAGTATCCACGCTGCTGGGCCAAAAATGGGGTTGATGGGACCACATGTCTCTCATGGAGACTTTTACAGTCAGTCTACCAAAGAAGGGACATGGCTGCTTTTGAGAACTGGATGTTGATTTGCCCAGGTCTCTCTTGGGACTAGATATGCTGGTGGTGAGCTGAGCATTTGGGGAAGCACTTTCTGTTCTAGGTGACAATGGTGTCATAGGGCTAAGTCCTGTGCACATATAAACACACTCCTTTGCTAGGGTCCTGGGATGGCTGGGTTTGGATATGTGTGGAGCAGAGATCATCCCTGGAAGCATGGAAGCTGAGGCACATTCAGATCTTCCCTCCTCTGAGTTTGACCTGACCCAGAAGGAAAGCCCAGCAAAGCAGGTGTGTGTGTGTGTGTGTGTGTGTGTGTGTGTGTGTGTGTGTGTGTACACGTTGCAGGGAGGCCCTTCCTTTGCAAAAAGGGGCAATGTGAGCACGGTCTGGTCTAGCTCCTGCTAGAATCAGACATCCTTAAACAGAAGAAAAGTGTTTCAGGGTGAAAATGCAAAATAACGGCACTGGAAGGCATGGCTCTTCACTTGAGTGTATTGCAAATATCAAGCACATGTTTTTAAAGCTGGTCATGAACTGCAACGCAGCATAATGGGGCAGCCTTATGCATGATTAGGGTGGAAGTCCTAGAGCACCTTACAGACCTGAATTCAAATCATCACCCCTCCCAAACTCTCTGTGGGACTCCAGCCCCTCAGCTAGACAAGGGGGTCACGATCACATCTAACTCTGAGAGCTGTTTGAGCTAAGATACTTATAAGAGTTCCCTGGCACACAGTCTCTGTTCCATAAATGTGATTTGATAAACAACATAAATATTCATCCCTGCTGTTAAGGGATGAGTCAAGGGAAGGGAGCTCATGATCTGGGACTTCCTCTATGACCTCACTATGAGGTAGGTATTGTTGTCCCTATTTTCCATATGAGGAAGCAGAGGCTCAGAGAAGACAAGAGACTGGCCCAAGTTCATGGAGCCAGTGAACTGGCAGTGAAGGATTTACACTCAGGTCTCTTGGGCCCCAAAATCTAAGTACTGCACACGACTCTGCAGACCTCCATGGAGTGACTCTTTCTAAAAAGCTTTATGCCAACAGACACCAGAGGAGGAAGGTGGTCACCAGGCATCACTGTCCACCTTACATAGGTCTGCCGTCTGCTCTTCCCTCGTCTCTGTAGCTTGGGTTTCCCTATCTAGAGGATCACCATGATTTTCAGAGAAGCTATAACTGTTGTTAGGACTGGAACTTGCCCTTAGGGTTGGAATGTGGTGGAATCACTTCACTCTTACTGAGCTGATCTCCAACCTGTGCTGCTTTCCTCGTGGCATGAGAACTTATCTTTCTTGGAGTTGGCTCAAAATAATAGCTGTCTTCTGGTTAACCCAATCATGTTCTCTTACACCTGAAATATGACATGGAAGTTATCTAATCCAATGCCTGCAATTTCCAAAAGAGAAAACAGATGTATTGAAGGAAAGGGACTTGGGCTGGATGGGGTGCAAAACATTGGGATGGAGCTTAAATGGGGCCCAAAACATTGGGATGGGAGACCAGGAGTGTAAAGCCTACATATTCCCAGAAAATGACCTGAACAGGTTCTCTCTCTTTCTCTCTCTTTCTCTCTTCTTTTGGAGACAGAGTCTCGCTCTGTTGCCCAGGCTAAAGTGCAGTGATGCAATCTTGGCTCATGGCACCTCTGCCTCCCAAGTTCAAGCAATTCTCCTGCCTTAGCCTCCTGAGTAGCTGGGATTACAAGCACACCCACCGCGTCCAGCTAGTTTTTTTGTATTTTTAGCAGAGACAGGGTTTCACCATGTTGGTCAGAGTAGTCTCAAACTCCTGACCTCAGGTGATCTGCACTGCCTCAGCCTCCCAATGTGCTGGGATTACAGGCATGAGCCACTGCGCCCGGCCTAGGCCCTCTCTTTTGATGATCTCAACAATCCTTGCCAGATGGTGTTCGTATCCCCATTTTAAAGAAGAGAAAAAAAGAGACATGGACAGATTAACTGATTCATCAAGGGTCAAGCCAAGCTCATCAGTGGCCAAGCAGGCATGGGAAGCCAAGTGTGACTGCAGAGGCTGATTCAAGAAGAGTAACTAAAAAATACACTCACCCAGCCCGATTTTAAGGAATTTAGTTTCACACGGCGAACAAAGTAATTTCAAGCACTGGTAATTTCAGGAAGTCATATTTTGTCACCAATTTGAATTTCTCTTGAGAGGAAATGTGAGAACTAATGAGTCACAGTGACCCCCTGTGCCAATTGCTATTTCAGGATGTGCTCCCCAAAACATTCTCACTGCAGCAGCTTCCATGCCAACCCCAGACCTGCCCTGGAGATCGGACATGGGCTCCTCTTAACCAGGAGCTTGGTGAGGGGTCCAGGGTTCTTTAGCATCCAGGTCACCCTTTTACTTCAAAGGGCTTTGAGGGATAGAGGTGTTGCCTGACCTGGACAATCTGGGTGCCTGATGTACTGCCTGTCCTGCAGCCCACATTGTTGCATTTGGAGAGAAGTGATCACTCAGTTTTCATGGCCACTTCCAATCCAACCTTCAACTGAGGCACCATTGCAAGTATGCCCTAGATGACAATCATTCACTCAACAGATAACTAAGTGGATGTGGATTAAAGCCCCTGGAGACACAGAGCCATAAGAAGGATGAAATCTTTTCTCGACAAAGACAGTAAGAAAGCTAAAATACACAGAGCTAGAATCAAAACTGTGACCACGCAGCCCTCCCTCACATTGCCAGTCAGACCCAGGCTGCCCTGACCAGTGCTGGCTGACCAGCTGGGCAGCAGAGAACAGTGGGCACTTCCTAGGTCACTTGAACCAGGGACTGTCAGCCTTCAACCATGGCAGGCTGGTTAAAGGCAGGAGGATAATGCCAAGCTCCTCACTGGAGAACAAGATAGGACTGTCTCCAGAGCTGATGGCTATGTCCGCAGGCTGGCAGTCCCTGGCATGGGTCACAGAGGCACATTTTGAAAGTAGCCACCCTAGGACCAGAGGCTTTTGATCTTTTAAAGAACTGAAAAATTAACTAGGTTGTATTATTGACCAGAGTAAAATATTCTGAGAATAAGCATTGAGTATGGGGAGGCAGGGAGCTGTGTCTGCCCAGTGGGTGATGAGGAGCCTGCCTGCATGTTTCCCTCTCCCACTACTTTAGTGGCTCTTAAGAGCAGGAGACCTGCTTCTCCAGTTATCTGTTTAATAACCAGTGTAAAGGCAGCCATATGCCTATATTTGGTAGAGGGCCAAATGGGTAACAAGTATCATGCTACACACTTTAAATTCTTGATCTCATTTAATCTCCAAAACACCCCTTGCAGGTGACTATTACTACCCTCATTTTATAGCTGTGGTAACAGAGGCACAAAGAGATAAAGTGGCTAGTCTGATCCACTCAGCCAGTATATGATGGTCAGATTTTGATCCCAGGGCTGTCTAATTCCAAAACCCAAGTTCCAAACACAAAGAAATGGTAAGTGTTTGAGGTGATGAATATGCTAATTACCCTGATTTGATCATGAAACATTGTATACATGTATTGAAATATCACACTGTACCCCATAAACATATACAGTTACTGTACCCCATAAACATATATAGTTATGTGTTAATTAAAAATAATAATAAAAGCAAAAAGAGGGTGCTCAACCTCATTAGTAATCAAGAAAATGCAAATTTAAAAACTCAAACCCAACCAAACAAAAGAAGATGTAATCCCCAAGGCAACCACTAAGAAAATAACCCAAAAATATACAGTAAAAGAAAAAAAGGTCTTAAAAGGGTATGACAGAAAATGTCTTTTTATCACAACAGAAGGCAGTAGTTGAGGAACAAAAAAAGATACATCACACATAGAAAACAAGTAGCAAAATAACAAAAGTAAGTCCTTCCTTAACAGCAGTTACATTAAATGCAAATGGACTAAACTCTCCAATTTAAAGGCAGAGACAAGCAAGATGGATTTTTAAAAAGCCACATGATCCAACAATATGCTGTCTAGGAAGACTTTAGATTCAAAGACACAAATAGGTTGAATGTGATAGAAAAAAATACTCCATGAAAAGAATAACCAAAGGAGAGGAGGAGGGGCTACACTAAAATCAAACAAAAGAGACTTTAGGACAGAAATTATTACAAAAGAGAAAGAAGGATAATATATATTAGTAAAAGCATTAATCTTTCAAGAAGATATAACAATATAAACATATATTCACCTAGCTAGAGCACCAAAGTCCATGAAGCAAAACCAGAAAGACTTAGAGAGAAATAAATGGTGCAACAATAATAACTGGAAATTTCAGTATCTCAATTCCAATAACAGAATAACTAGACGAAAGACCAGCAATGAAATAAGACTTCAACAACATTATAAATCAACTAAACCTTTTTTCTACAGGCACCACTCCATGCCCCAACATGCCCTGAGTTTGAAGGCTGAGGCCACCCAGGGTCAAATGTAATATCTAGGGATGAATAGATTTTAGATGGAGGATACTAGGATAAACAATAGTGTGATTTATACTTTTAACAAATCTGGCATATCTAAATCCTCCACCATTTGGAGTACACAATAGTTACCATTTACTTAAATTATTTTCTGAATAAGAATCCAACTTAAAGTATTCAGTGTGTAATTGAATAAATATTATAATATGAATTGCATAGGAAGCTGAGTAAATAAGATTATAAATGATCTGAAAAGTATTATTATCAAAATGACAGAGATGACAACATGTTTACATGAGGCAAGTTTAAACCAACCAAAATAAATGAGGCAAAAATGTAAAAATAAGGACAACTTCTTGCAAAAAATAAAGAAATATAAAGCTGTAATGGAGATGTACATGCCTTTAAAAAGATAACTTACTAAAAATGCAAGTATAATGTACTTTCATATACAATGAAAGAGTCTAAGACAAAGGTATGTAGGAATAGCCTGGATGGCCATGCAAAGGCAATCATGTATTGGGCTTTCTGGAAAGAGCAGTCATCAGTTGCGAGTAACACACCAAGCTTGCTAGAGTGCTCTGCACATCCTGCTCTTCACCTCTTGATGTGGGCCTCCCACTTTTGTGAAGTGACAGTGAAGGCCATGGTGTTTGTAACTGGCAGCCTGAACTCCTCCCTCTGAGGAAGGTGAAGCAGCAAGGCCTTGGAGCCTGGGCTTCAAGTCCCAGTGCACTGGTGAATTTGGCCAGAGTGGGGAGACGTCTTGTCATGGATGTTGAAATTAATGTGAAACTCCAACCTAAATGTCTTTGTCTATGGGCAGAGGGGTGGCTCCCTACTCTGCACCCTATGTACTTTGTTCACTACCTCTGTGAGAGAACTAACATTTCCTCTCTCCACCCACAGCCTATGGGCCAGTTCATCTCCCCATGCTGGATTTCAGCTTATACCCCAGCATGGCTCCTGAGCAGTACAAGGTGGTATAGTCAGAGCTTTGGGAGGCTGGGAACTGAGCAGAAGAGCTGGATAGTTTAGGCAAGGAATGATCAAGGCCCCAACTGAAGCAAAGTGGAAATGATTTCCATGGCCAGTTGAAAACAACCCTGTGGCATTGCACAGTGGGAATCCATGAAGATAAAGAGCCAGAAGATATGAGTGTGACTCCTGGCTCCGTCACTCTTGATCTGAGTGACTCGAGAAAGTCCCTTAACATCTCTGAGCCTGCTTCTCCATCCAACCAATGGATAAGATAATGTATGCCCTACCTATCTGAGATGGGAAGACAGTGTATGAAAAACACTTAAGAAACTGTCCAACTTTAAAAAAAAAAACATGTACAAGTGTGTGTACAAACATACAGCTCCGTGGCTCAGGATGAGCAAGAATCAACTGTGCTCCAACCCAATAAACTCTGTGAGGAACTGTATTGATTCATTCTTTCCCAAGACTTTGGCCCAGAAAGCTGTATTTTCATAGCTTGAAGTAAATCTATTTTCTTACTGATCAAAGGTAATACACTAAAGTGTATCACACATTAGAATAGTTTGCTCGTTAGCTTTCCAGGTTGTTTGCAAATCAAATTATTTGGTGTTCTTTTGTTTTTGAGGTATTTGAGTTCCTTGTATATAATGGATATTAATCCCTTGTCAGATACATAGTTTGCAAATATTTTTTCCACTCTGCAGCTTGTCTATTCATTCTTTGGGTTGTTTCCTTCGCTTTGCAGAAGTTTTTTAGTCTGATGTAATCTTATTTGTCTATTTTTTCTTCTGCTGCCTTTGTGTTTGAGGTCTTCTTCATAAAATCTTTGCTCAGACCAATGTCCTGAAGCATTTTCCCGATGTTTTCTTTTGGTAGTTTTATAATTTTAGGTCTTACATTTAAGTCTTTAATCCATTTTGTGTTGATTTTAGTATACAGTATGAGAGAAGTCTAGTTTCATTTATCTGCACATAGATCACATAGATATCCAGTGTCCCCCAACATCATTTATTGAAGACAGTGTCCTTCCCCCAATGTATGCTCTTGTGCCTTTGTCAAAAATCAGTTGGCTGTAAATCTGTGGATTTATTTCTGTGCTCTCTATTCTCTGCCATTGGTCTATGTGTTTGTTTTTATGCCAGTATCATGCTCTTTGGTTTCCAACACTTTGAGTTTATTTTTAAGTTCAGTAGTGTGATGCCTCCAGCTTTATTCTTCATGCTCAGTATTCCTTTGACTACTTGGGGTCTTTTGTAATTCCATACAATTTTGGGCTCATTTTTTCCATTTCTATGAAGAATGTCATTGGTATTTTACAGAGATTTCACTGAATCTGCAGAGAGTTTTTGGTAAGATTGTCATTTTCACAATATTAATTATTTCAGTTCATGACTATGTGATGCCTTTCTATTTTTGTGTGTTCTTTTCAATTTATTTCATTAGTGTTTCATAGTTTTCCTTGTAGAGATCTTTCACCACCTTGGTTAAACTTATTCCTGGGTATTTTTTTGTAGTTGTTGTAAACAGGATTGCTTTCTTCATATCTTTTTCCACTAGTTCGTTTTTGGTGTATACAAATGCTATAGGCTTTTGTATGCTGATTTTGTATCTTACAAATTTACTGAATTTGTTTATTAGTTCTAAGAGTTTTTGGTGGGGCTTTTAGGGTCTTCTAGATATAAGATCATGTCATTTGCAAAGAGGAACAATTTGACTTTCTCCTTTGCAACCTGGATGTTCTTTACATCTTTCTCAATTTATTCCTAATTGCTCAGGCTAGGTCTTCCAGTACTATGTTAAATAACAGTGGCGAGAGTGGGCATCCTTGTCTTGTTCCAGATCCTAGAGGAAAAGCTTTCAACTTTTCCCTATTCAATATGATGTAGGCTGTGGTTTGTCATATATGGCCTTCATTGTGTTGAGGTACATTCCTTTTGTACCTAACTTGTTGAGAATTTTTTATCATGAAGGGATGTTGAATTTTATCTAATGTTTTTTATACATCTATTGAGATGATCACATGGATTTTGTGCCTCATTATGTTGATCTAATGTATCAAATTTATTGATTTGCATATGTTGAACCACACTTGCATCCCTGAGATAAATCCCACTTGATCATGGTGAATGATCTTTTTAACATGCTGCTGGATTCGGTTTGCTAGTATTTTGTTGAGAATTTTTGTATCTATTTTCATCAGAGATAGTGACCTGTAGTTTTGTTGTTGTTATTGTGTCCTTATCTGGTTTGGGCATCAGGGTATAGCTAGGCTCATGGAATGAATTTGGGAGAATTCCCTCCTCTTGTATTTTCTGGAATAGTTTAAGAAAAAAATTGTACTATTTCTTCTTTAAATGTTTGGTAGAATTCTGCATTAGGTCCTGGGCTTTTCTTTGATGGGAGACATTTAATTACAGATTCAATTTCATTACTCATAATTGGTCTGTTCACATTTTCCATTTCTTCTCAGTTAAATCTTGGTAGGTTGTATATGTCCAGAAATTTACTTATTTCCATTAGGTTTGAAAATAATTTATTTATTTTCATTTGTTGGTATATAGTTGTACACATTAATCTCTAATGATCATTTGTATTTAGGTGGTTTCAGTTGTAATGTCTCCTCTTTTGTTTCTGATTGTATTTATTTGAGTCTTATTTCTTTTTCTCATACTTGGTCTAGCTAATGGTTTGTCCATTTTGTTTATTTTTTCAAAAAACCAACTTTTCATTTTGTTGATATTTTGTATTTTTGCCTCAGTTGCACTTATTTCTGCTCTGATATTTATTATTTATTTTCTTCTACTAATTTGGGGTTTGGTTTGTTCTTGCTTTTCTAGATTCTTGAGAGGCATTACTAGGTTTATTTGAAATCTTTCTACTTTTTTGATGTAGCATTTTTTGCTATAAACTTTTCTCTCAATATTGTTTTTGCTGTGTCACAAAGATTTTTATATGTTGTACTTCTGTTTTCATTTGTTACAAGAAAGTTTTTTAAATGTCTTTATCAATCCATTGGTTGGTCAAGAGCATGGTGTTTAATTTTCATGTGTTTGTATGATTTTGAAAGCTCCTCTTATAATTGATTTCTAGCTTTATTCTGATGTGATCAGAAAAGATACTTGAAATAATTTCAATTATTTCACATTGTTGAGACTTGTTTTATGTCCTAAAATGTGGTGTATCCTGGACAATATTCCACGTGCTGATGAAAAGAATGTATATTCTGGAGCTTTAGGATGAAGTGTACCGTAAATGTTTGTTAGGTCCATTTGTTCTAAAGTGCAGTTTAAGTTCAATGTCTCTTTGTTAATTTTCTGTCTAAATAATCTGTCTAACACTGAGACTGAAGTATTGAAGTTCACAATTATCATTGTATTTGGGGTCTATCTCTCTCTTTAGCTTTAATAATATTTGCTTTGTATATCTGAGTGGTCCAGTGTTGAGTGCATAGGGGATCATATTTTAATTTAGGACACTCTAGTTTGGACTAATACCAACTTAATATCAATAGTATTACAAAACTTTTTTTCTATATATCTCTGTTCCCCCCTGCCAAATTTATGTTATTACTACCAGTTACATCTGTATACATTGTGGGCCTATTAATGCAGATTTATAATTGTTGTCTTACATAGTTGTCTTTTAAATAACATGAGAAAAGTGAAGTTGCAAAAAAATTAATAATTACGTATTTGCCTATATGGTCATCTTAAGTACTATTTTTAATTTCTTCATGTGAATTTCAGTTACTGTCTAGTGTCTTTTCATTTAGCCTGAAGGACTCACTTTAATAGATCTTGTAGGTTAGGTCTGCTAGCAATTAACTGTCTCAATTTTTGTTTATCTAGAAATGACTTGATTGCTGTTTTACATTTAAAGGATAGTTTTGCCAGATGTTGAATTCAGTTGACAGGTTTTTGTTTCAGCATTTTGAATACATCACTCCACTGCCTCTGGCCTCCCTAGTTTCTGATAAGAAATTAGCTGCTAATCTTACTGAGGATCTTTTGTGTATGACAAGTCATTTATCTGCTTTTGGGATTCTCTCCCTGACGCTGGCTTTTGACAATTTGATTATAATGTGACTTAGTACAGATCTCTGAATTTATTCTATGTGGGATTCATTGAGGTTGTGATATATACAGTCATGTCTTTCATCAAATTTGGAAAGTGGCCATTATTCCTTGAAATATTCTTCTTCTCCTTTTCCTCTTTTCTTTCTTGGACTTCCTCTATGCATATGTAGGCATATCTAGGAGACATTGCAGGTTCAATTCCAGACCATCACAATAAAGTGAATGTCACAAAAAGAAAGCCACATATATGTTTGGTTTCCCGGTGCAAATGGAAGTTATCTTTTCACTATATTGTAGTCCGTTAAGCATAAAATGTATATAATTTAATTTAAAAAGACTTTATTGCCAAAAAATGTTGACACCAAGACGCTAAATGAGCACATACTACTGGAAAATAGGCACTGATAGACTCACTTGACACAGCATTGCCACAGATTTTTAACTTATAAAAAATGCAATATCTGCCAAGTGGAATAAAGTGAAGCACAATAAAGCAGAGCTCAATACAACAGGGTGTTCTTGTACTTGACAATATCCCACAGGCATCTTAGGCTTTGCTCATCTTCTTCATTCTTTTTTTTTTTTTTCTGTTCCTCAGACTGAATAATTTCATTTGACCTTCTTCACATTTACTAATTTTTTCTTCTGCTAGCTCAGATCTGCTCTTGAGTCTCTCTAGTGAATTTTTTATTTCAGTTATTGTACTTTCCCAACTCTTAAATTTCTATTTGGTCTTTTTATATAATTTCTCTGTATCGAAGTTCAGTACTTGATGATACATCATTCTCCCAATTACCTTTAGATCTTTGTACATGGTTTCCTTAAACCTTTAAATATATTTTAAATAGCTGATTTAAAGTCTTTGTCTAGTAAGTCCAATATCTGAGCTCCATTATGGACAGTTCTACTGATTGATTTTTCCCATCAAAAAAATAAGCCATACTTTGTGTAGCTTTGTTTCTGGACAATATTTTTTGTTTCTTTGCATGCTTCATAATTTTTTGTTGAAAACTGGACACTTTGAATTGTATAATATGGCAATTCTGGAAATAAGATTTTCTCTTCTTTCCAGGATCTGTTGTTGCTGCTTGTCATAGTTTCCATCATTTATTTGTTTAATAACTTTTCTGAAATAATTTTTGTGAGTTATGTATTCTTTATCATCTGTGGTCATTGAAGTCTTTGTTCCATTAGCTTAATGGTCAGTTAGCGATTTGACAGAGATTTCTTTAAATACCTGGGGGCAAGGGGTGCTCCCATATTTTTGCTGTGTGGGTGTGTTGAAGCATGCCTTCAAGACTCAGCCCAGAAATTTACAACCGTGTTTTAGCTTTCACTTTCTGCTTGAGCAGAGTCTAGAGGTTGGCCTTAGGTTAGAGTTTCAGGTCTTTTTGGGTCTTTCCTGATCATTCACACAACCTTGGCATGTGTATTTGTATGTTACAGCTTTTCAAAGTCCTTACTCTTCAAAGCATCTTGTTTACCAGCCTTTTCTCCAGAGCTTTAGGTTAGTCTATTTTTTGCTCCAACTATTATCCACCACCTGAGGCAGCAGTGAGTAAAACATTTTCCTCTAAATGTTTTTGACAAAATTCCACAGATATCTGCTTTAGCATTGGAAGAGTTCTGTGTTAGGTGAGATGAAGGCAAGCCTTTGAACCAGCTTTTGGGTAACTACCAAATAGGTCAAAACAAATAATTTTAGCTATTTGCAGATGAAGTCCATTGTGCTTCCTACAGTAATGATACTGTCACCAGGGCTGTCATTTGCAAGACTCTTGCTTATTGGAGAGCTGGAATGGGACTAGGGTAAGTTAAATTGCAACAAACCTTGCTGTTCTTACTGAGACTCAGCTGGGTTTTCCTGATTAAGCATTCCCCTGGCTGATGCAAGCTGTTGGTTAGTTTCTAGATTCCAAAACACTGATTTGTCACTTTTTTGTTGTTGTTGCTGCTGCTGCTACAGGAGACAGAATTTTGAAATGTCTTACTCTGCCATTTTAACTGACACCATTTTCCTCAGCTATTTATTTTAAAAATGAGTGTTCTGTATTATATTTAGCATGCTGAGTATGGGGCTTTTTTCATAAGGGGATTTGGGTAGCATGTAATCCATAATGTTCCTGGAACTGGAATTCACCAGTCATTTTCAATCCACTTCAGTTTGGCACCCTACTCCACTCCTACAATGAATCTATTCTTGTTAAGGTTATAAACAACTCTCCTTTGCCAAATCTGGTAAATACTGTCCTCTTCTCAACTGTCTAACTCTCTCATCAGCATTTGACAGAGTGAGACACTACCTTGTGAAAACACTAAACCTGTTTTGGCTTTTATGATACCATATTCCCCAGGGTTTTCTCCCATCTCTCTGCCCATATTTGATTAGCTCCCTATTTTAGTCCATTTTATGCTGCTATAACAGAATACCACAGACTGAGTAATTTATAGTGAACATAAATGTATTTGGCTTATAGTTCTGGAGGATGGGAAGCCCAAGAGCATGGCACCAGCATCTGGTGAGGGCCTTCATGCTATGTCAGCCCCAGGCGAAGACAGAAGGGCAAGTTAGGGCAAGAGAGAGCATTCAAGAGAACATCAACCCTGCTTTTATAACAATCCAATCTCACAATAATGACATTAATTCGTTCATGAGGGCAATGTCCTTAGGGCCTGATCACCTCTTTAAAGACTCACATCTTAATACCATCAAAATGGCAATTAAATTTCAGCATGAGTTTTGGAGGAGACACTCAAACCATAGCACTTCCTTAAGTAAACTTTCGTCCTCCTTCTAACAATCCTTAGATGTTGGAGGTTCTCATAGTTTGGTCCTGGCCTCTCTATTTTTCTATTCTTTTTTTTTTTTACATTCTTCTCAGTGGTCTATAAAAGTTATATTCCTAGCCAAAACTCTCCTCTAAACAATATAGTCTTACATCCAATTCTCTTCTAAACTTCTCCACTTAGATGTACTTCTGTCATATACCACAAGGGCATGGCACCATGAAGTCTGGCCTAGGTCTAAGAACTACTGGAAACTTGGGTTTGGCTTAAGTTTCCTTCTATCTGGTTCCAATAATGGTCCAGAAATTAAGAAGATCAACTGATACAGTGAATGCTTGGTTTAAGAAATTCAAACCAAGGGTTCTTCAAACGTACCATCTTCCTACTAAACTATAAAGCCCTTGTCTTTTTTTAACTGGGATAGATGAGTACTGAGGGTATTTGGAAACTAGATGCTCATCAGTGACCTCCAAGAAAACAGTTTCTGTCACATGACAGTGGTAGTGGTTACTGAGGCCATATCATGATGATGAGTATAAACTGCTCCATTAAGAAGCATGTGACACACAAGAGAGCCTTAAAAGAAGAGTCACTGAGGCCTCACTAAAGCAAGGCAGCACATGTGCACGAGACTCTCACAAAGGCCAAAGGTGTACACTGAGATGGGAGCTGGATTTTGAAACAGATGAGGACAAAAAAAAGGTTGGGAGAAAAGAAGTGTTGGTCAGAGGTAGGAGGGCATCATCCAGCAGCACCTTCTGGTGAGCTGAGATTACTATCGGTCCTAACCAAAAGTCCAGGGTTTTGAAGGACGACCTGTGGTTTCCAGCCTGAGACATACAGTGATGAGGCTGACAGTATAACTGGGGAGATAGGGAAGGAAATGCCATCAGTGAGAGAATGGAAAAGTGGGGGACTGCACCATCTGTGCCAATTTAAAAGGATTAGGAAGTGAGAGAGGAGAACAGGAATGGGGAACATGGCAGAGAGGCATAATGTGGGCATCAGTTAGAATTCTGTGGGTTGTGAGTCACAGAAAGGAAATCCAAATCAGCTAAAGCCAGAAAAGAGAATTTATTGGAAAAATCCTTTGTAAGCTGGAGGACCAGGTTAGAAAATGGACAGAATGATAGTGGCTACAGAGAGCCTAAAAGCAGGAAGCACAAGTATAGTCTTCTTGCAGGAAGAGCCTGGGGAGGACACCCCTGCAGAGTGCCACCTGTGGAAAAGCCTCATCATCACAGCAGGTGTCATCACTGCCACCAGTGCTGAGAAGTCGACTCTGTCCATCTCTGGGTCACACTCAAGATGAGATTCAAAACCCAGGCAGGGTCATCTGCTCAGCTGAGCCTCAGCCACATGACCACATCCAACTGCCTGCCAGATATAGAGCAGATCCATTCTTGTAGCTTCCGAAGAGGGAGATGGGGAATACCTCCAAAACAGGGAGGGGCTAGACATGGTACAGCCAAAAAACAAATTCCATTCCACTATAACAGATGAGGTGAAGAGGAGGCATAATCTTGAGAGCAGGAAAGACTTGAGGGAGTTTGTCAACTTGGAAAAAAGCACCAATGAGGGAGGGATTAAAGATGCAAAAGGAGGGGAAATGGATAGAAAAGCAGGAGGAAGTTGGCTGGGTGTGGTGGCTCACGCCTGTAATCCTAGCACTTTGGGAGGCCAAGGCAGGCGGATCATGAGGTCAGGAGTTCAAGACCAGCCTGGCCAACATAGTGAAACCCCGTCTCTACTAAAAATACAAAAAGTAGCCGGGTGTGGTGGCACGCACCTGTAGTCCCAGCTACTCAGGAGGCTGAGGCAGAACAATTGCATGGACCCAGGAGGCAGAAGGAAAGTGAAGGGGACGGGAGGGGAGGGGAGGGGAGGGGAGGGGAGGGGAAGGGAAGGGAAGGGAAGGGAAGGGAAGGGAAGGGAAGGGAAGGGAAGAGAAGGGAAGGGAAGGGAAAGGAGCAGGAGGAAGTTACAGGAGGGATCGAGGGTGTGGCATCTGCTCAGAACAGTGGGGCAGGGAAGAATTTGACTGTGGTGAGAGGTGTGAGCAATGAGAGAAGGCACCTGGGAAATTTCCACTCTTTCTATCTGTTCAACAAGCAGCTATTTTCTCAAGGTAGAAGGCTTGATTTTCAATAGTGCAAAGCTGATCAAAATGGTGATTTATCATTTTCTAAAATCTGACTCTTTACCTAAAATCTGACTCTTTACCTAAGTTTCAGGGAAGGGAATCATTTCAGACCTGCTTCCTTGTTGGTACGGTTGGGGAAGGGCAGGGGTTGCCTTTGGAGCCTGGGCAGCTGATGCAGCGACCTCCCCCCTTCTTTTCTAGGAAGGGGGGCAGCTTTTGGGAATCTCAGTGCATCATGTTCCCAGGACCCAGAAACAGGACTGCCATATAGCAAGGACATGTTTCACTCTTTCGTCTCAGCCTCTAACTCCTGTAAGCAGGGACCCTGCCTAGCCCAGGGTGTCACACCTGGTAAGCTAGGGTCCCTCCGAAGCTGCTTTCCAAGGTACCCTGTGAGAACCCAGCACTCACAGGCAGAGCCTGTGCTACTATCAGTCCCACACTCACTCTAATACAAGCTTCCCCTTGTGAGAAACCCACAGACTTTACAGCTGAATAAATTCTTTACCTGAAAGCTGCTCAATTCAATGAGCAGCCCAGATAGTTGTCCAAGTGGATCAAAGAGTCCTAGGTGAGTAGTATTTCCATGAATCCAACATTTACAGAGGCTTAAAATTGAGTCTGCAAGCTCTAAAGCCCAAGTGTGGTAGGCATGGAACTAAGCCGCTCTGAGCCTGCTTCTGAAAAGGACTCACTGCCCAACTGCAGGAGTGAAGTCAGCTGACAGCTGCTAGCTGTTAGCTCTTTTAGGGTGACTCTTAGCTTTACAGCCAACTTCACTCCCTTCTTGGGTGGCTCCAAGCCAATGACTGCACAAGTCCTGGCCACCTCTGCCCAAACCCAGACCCCTCCAGCGGGTCATCTGCTCGGAGCGCCAGTTGGGCTGGCAGCAATACTGTCAGGTATGCAGTGTGCTCTGATACCTTCCTCCCCATCCCTGCTTCCCTCCTTTCCTGAGCAAAATGTTAATCCCTAAAAAAACTCTTACCTCAGCATCTGCCACTGGAACCCAGCTGAGGCACCACTCATTCATCTATTCAGCCCACACTAGGCATCCTCTGACTTAACTGTTGCAAAGTTAAAGGTGATGTGTGACAAGTGCTACAACAGTGGTTGGAACAAAAGGTTATGGTTATGGTGCCTGAGCCAATGCAGTGCCCCTAAGTCACCTTTCCCACAGACCAGGGCTGAATGACTCTAGAAATCATGCCCAAGGATACAGGTTGCAATCCAGGGGCTTTCCAAGCAAAGCCTCTGTGCTCCGGTCTGAACTCTCTTGCTCGGTATGTCTGGGTGGTTTCCTAGTGCCTAATTCTGCGTCTTTGTCCTTCTGTTCAGGATCCCAAGACAACAAAGACCCCAGATAGGTAGAAGTCCAGGCTTTAGACCCCTTCTGGGGTCCTGAGCTGTCAAAGGGAGGGTATGCCATGGACTGCAGGGTGTGGGCAAAACTGAAATGAAAAGCCAAGGCAAGGGGACAGAGATGGTGGAGCCAAAGGGCGGAGACAGACTTTAGGCCCAAGGCAGCAGAGCTGAAGCCAGGAACAGTGGGTGGAGAGAAAGGCCATTCCCTCTATGACAGAGCAGCCTGCAGTGCCCAAGTGCCCAATGGCAGGAAGACCAAGGACAGGCTTACAGTACAAGCAGGGCAAGGCCACCAAAGTGGAGCAAAAGTTCACCTTTGATGAATCCCACAGTTTCCCAATTTAAAAATCTAGGAAGAATTTTTTTAATTCAGCATATGATAGGTTTCGTATATAGATGATATTTAAATTATGGGTGAGGGGGCAGGAAAAACTCGTACTCCTCTAAAGATCTCGCAACAGGCCTTGTAGAAGGTCCCCGTGGCCTTGGGCATGGAAGAAATGGGAAATGTTAAAGGTGCCGAACTCCATACAGCACTGAGTGAGGAGGTGGTGCTGGAACAAGGTCCAGAGGGATGCATCAAAGTTCAAGAGGCAAAAAAGGGCAGGCAGAGTGGAGTGTGTACCCAGTGAGAATGTCGGCTATAGTAATGAAGAGGACCAACTATGAAATGACTCAATACAGTATAAGTTAATTTCTCTTTCTCTCAAGATACTTCCAGGTTGACAGTGAGGGCTTGGCTCCATGCAGTCATTCAGAGCCCCAGACTGCAGGGATTCTACCATATTCTACATGGGAATTCCAAAGTGGTCCCATCCCAATCAACCAGAAAAGGGAAATGAGCTTAGAAGGGTAGCAAGAGAAGGAATCCTGGAAGCCAGGCCTAGAAGTAACCACATCACTTCTGCTCATGTATAATGGCCAGGATGCAGTCACACCTAACTGCAAGGATGCTGGAAATGTAGAACATCTGTGTGTTCCCAGGAAGAAGGGGAGAACAGATTCAGGTGGAGAGCTGGCATCCTCTGCCTAGAACAGGGAGTCTACAGTGACTGGGGCAGACAGAGTGAATGTGGTGGAAATGGGCCAGAGGTGTGCTGACAAATGCTTAACAACCAGCTCTGTAGAAGAAAAACAAAACAAAACAAGACATCTAAGCTCTGATTTACTGCATTTGCTAGTTTTCTTGGTGTAAATACTCCCACAACATTCAATTTCAAACTACCAGCATGATGTCATTGAACATTAGAGTTGAGAAGAGATGCATGGCAGCAACCCAGTATATATTATCCACCATGTAGAAACAATAGATGTCAATTACCTGAAGAATAATAAAATGTAGTAAAATGATTTGGAAATTATGAGTTTTTAGTGCTTGTTACCTTTGTCTTAAATAGTTTATTTAATTATAAGTTTATATACATTAATTTCTAATGATGTTCTTGCTAAACAACTGGCTTACAAAACTCCTGAAAATTTAACAATCAGTTATGTCATTGGTACTCTCCAGCTGGTCCGGCCCACTACTGGGATAGACAGAAGGAGAAACCAAAGTATGAGGGTGGGAGCTGCCCATGAAGACCTTGAGTGACATGCAAGGGAGCTGCGGCATCGACCTCCTGGCAGCAGGAACAGAGAGTGCACTAAGCAGGCAGGCTGGGGACCCAGGTGCTGGTGACCCCTGGGCAGGCATCACAAAGCCAGAGTAGCATTGTTTCTCTCCTCTGCCTCCAGAAGGGCTTACTCTGGTCCTCCATGCAGCTTCTGGAACAGGGGAAGCAGGGCTTTGCTATCTATATGTCGCCTTTGTGCAAATTAGAGGAAAGCTCCCTCCTCTAGCTGCACACCTCCCCACCTCCCTGTGCTGGAACACAGGGCTTTGCCAATGGAGCCCAAATTCAGCCTCCTTACCTCCCTCTACTGGACACCTTTGAGCAGTGCACAGACCATCCAACAGCACCTGTGGCTCTGGGTGGAGTTGTCTCAAGTTGGGGCTTGGGACAGATGCCCTTTCCACTTTCTGACCAGGAGATTTATTCGCAGATGTGCCTCTCCCTGAGAAGAATCTCCCTTAGGATGGCAGCCAGCAAACACCCCATGTGCAGTTGTCTTCTAAAGCTGTGGTTCTCAACCCTGGCTGAATCCCTAGAGGAGCTTTTACAACTCCCAATGACAATAAACACTGCAGACTAGTTAAATCAGAGCCACTGGGGGTGGGACACAGGAATTCACTGTCAGAGCTCCCTAATGTGCAGCCAAGGTTAGGAACTACTGTTTTGAAGGTATCCTGGCTCTGGGCCAGTTGATGCTGATTGGCAGCCATCCCACCAACAGGTGTGCATTTCAATAGATGCCTTCTGCCTTCCGGAGACTTCTGTCCATTCAGTGCTCAGCTTCTGTCCCTGAACAGCCCTTAGAAAATACTGAATGATTCAAGGCAGGAAGCCAGGTGAAGGCAGACCTAGGACCACTGCTGGAAAGGGGCAGCACCGTGCAGGCAGGCACAGGGCAGTGGAGAAGGAGGCATCTGTCTCCGCTGCTAAGCTAGACCTGTATCTCCCACTCCTTGGTCTGGGTGTCCCACTTATAAGTGAGAAGAGTAGGGCTGGTTCTTCAAATAAAAGCTTATAGGAGGTCACATGTTCAACAGATCCCCTTGCCCTGCCCTTGTCCCCACTCCATCCTCCCACAGGCCACCCCAGAGGAAGTGGGAGGCTCCCAGGGCCCTGCAGATCAGGGCTGGTAAACTTCAGGATGAAGGGGCTCCAATTCCTGCCTCTGTGGACCCTTCATCTCAGGAAGTACTGAGAGCACAGTCTGAGGTTGGAGAGGAGAAAAGAGCTACTTTGCCCACCTGCCCCATTCCCCCAGCCTTCTCAGACGCAGAACGTAGATCAACTCCTGCCCTTTTCCCAGCCTGACTTCTGGGGTGTGAGCCCAGCTCTGATCCCCAGAAAAGCAGGCGAGTGAACACAGTGACTTAATATCATCAGGGAAAACAGCTGCACAGGAAAAGCGCCTGGGGGTGGTTTCTTAACCAAAACAAGCGTGAGTGGACCCAGACTAAGTCTCAGGGCATTTCCTTGCCTCTGACTTGGATGAAGTGGTCCAGGCTGCATTACTCACAAATGGCTTCCTGATTGCTCAAGACATTGTCACAAGCCACAGGACTTGCCCTGTGACCCTGGTGTCGACATGAGATTTTCTAGCTTGATATTCTCCCCACTCCTCATGGGTGGCCCCTGTCCCAACCAGGGCTTGTACCTGGCCTTAAAGGAAAAGGAGGTCAGTTCTGTCATTCAGTGGTGTTTCTTGGATCTGCCCATGAAGCCAGAGTTTCCTGTGAGGCTTCTGGCCTGAGTCAGCCTGGGGCTCAGGGAGGGCGTACAAGAGGGGCAGTACAGGGACATAGATAAGGGCCCAGGGGAAGTGCTTAGTGGCTCATTCTGCTGGTGGAATCAGGAGAATTTCATTGGGGAATTGCCCAAAGAGGACAAGGCAATGTGAGGAAGGGCATTCCAGAGAGAGGGAACTGCACGTGCAAAGACACAGCTACATGTGCAAAAACACAGAGGCACAGGAGAGCAGGGGCTGCACATGCAAGAACAGGAACACACAGGAGCAAGGCATGTGCAAAGTCACTGGGGCACACAGGAGCAGGCGCTGTATGTGCATATGGTTGTATAGAGCATCGGCAAGAGATAGGTCAGAGAGGAGTCCATGGATGCTACCATGAAAGAACCTGGAATGTTATGCCAAGGTACTCATTCATCCCTCTGAGGAGTAGCTGAAGACCAGAACAAGTGACTTGATGCTGAGTAAGACAGCTTTGTGTCCATGGACTCTACCTTCTCCCACCAGCTTGGCCATGTGGCTCACCACATCCTGGTGAGTCTTTCTTCTTACTCTGCAGTCCTCCCCTCTCCATAGGGCACACTGTTCCCTAGGGAGGACTGCCACAGTGATCTCCTGGTGGGCTCTCTCCCTCTACAGCTGCTAAAGTTGATTACATACCAATAGGACACTTGGGGATCTGTGGACATGGGGCACTCGAGGGAGTGTGGAGGGTCAGATGGAGGCTATGGCCATCTGAGCAGGGGAGGGCATTGTTCAAATCCCTCTTTACCAGCTACTGAAAGGGTCACACAGTTCTCAGGCCCAAATAGCCAGACCCAAGCTCAGATGCCTAAGAGGATACACGGAGTGATTATCAGGGGCACAGAGGCAGGTCACCGTTCAGCAAGTTCATCGGGGGCTCAAGCCAGGAGCTGTTACCATGCAGTGATGGGAATAGGGTGGAGAGGCTGGCATCACAGAGCAGCAGGAGCTGTAGACACAGCCCTGGGTTCTGGTGCCCGCCCTGCTGCTCGGTACTGTATGACTTTGGGCAGGTGATTCAACCTTGCTGTGCCTTATTTTCCAGATTTGAAACGCTATATATATAGCACCTGCTTCAGGAGTTTGAGAGTTAAATGAGATATTGAATGTAAAGCACCAGCCTCAGTGCCTGACACATAGTAGGTGCCTAATAAATGATAGCTATTGTTATGATTGCATTCCTTGGGTAATTTTTAGCATCTTGAGGCTGGATTCCGCTCCTCACAAAGCCCCAGTATACACCCTTTAAAATTATGCCAGCATCAAACAGAAACATGGCAATTAGCAGAGATTCACTATTCAATTCAGATCTTCCTATGAAGAGCCCTGAGTTAAGTGCTTCCTGCCCTCTTATTCCTGTCACCTTACTAAAGAGGCATAAATAGTATCCCTAACAGGCATCTTCCTGTTGGGAGTCTCCTGAGGAGTTTACATTGCCGGGCTGCTTGCTCCTTCCCAGACACACCTGACTTTCAACACGTAAAACAGTGAGCTCATAAGCGGGTCCCCGTGGATTGGGCTCTGGGGTGGGGGGGGGGTCTCGGCTACCTTCTCACCAAAGCGCTATCCCACCCGGGCTTGGCAGGGAGTGCGGCTCCCAGGCGGCGGCTGAAAGGCGCATTTCTTCCAGCCTCAGCAAAGGATGGCCGGAACCCCAGTACCCTCTCCCGGGCCAGGACCGCGCCCCGCGTCTCTGGCTGGCCCCGCCCCTCTCGGCCCCGCCCCGCCCCCGCGCTCAGCTTGGACAGCCACGCGTGCGCCCAGGCCAGGCGGAGGGACTGCCCCGCCCTGGTCCAGTGATTGATCAGCAGTGATTACTGAGGCTTTAATGGTCCGCTTGGATGGGAATTAATTCTGGGATGGATAAATAATGCATCGAGGTTTATGTAGTCCAAGGCGAGCCGTCCGTCCGGAGCCAGGAGAGGTAGCCGAGGGAGCCTGACGGGTGACGCCAGCGGCCACGGGGCCCCGAACGAGCAGGACATGAGGGGCGACTAGGCGCGAGGACGAGCAAAAGCAAGTGGATGACAGCATGAACGGCCCTGCGGGGCTGGCCGGACGGCTGCAAGAACATGCTGAGCCCAAAGATCAGGCAGGCCAGGAGGGGTAAGTCCAACTTTCTGGGGTTTCTCTGGGCACCGCATGTGCCTCTTGGCAAACGTGCGCGGACACTTGGCCAGCCGTCACGCCATGTGTCACATGGGGCGGGCGTTCTGGGACCATTGCCGCTGAATAGTGAGCATCCTCCTGAGGAAGTGCCCTTCCTCGTGAAACTCCTGGGCTGGGTGGGGACACGACCTGAAGTTGCAAAAGGGCGGTGGCCGGCTTAGTGCCCCAGTGGGTGTGCACACTTCGCCCCACATTCCACATTTTACAGAGGCCCTCGGTCGCTCCAGGTGACCTGGTGGCAACTTTAAGGAAACTTTGCTTCTTTACTAAAAAGGAAATGCCCAAGATTTGCCCTGTGGCCAACACAGAAGCACCCCTTACCAGGGAAGGCCATGCCCTGGCTTCTAGAGACAGCTGGGTGCAAGCGAGGGTCTTCGTTCCCGCTGCTTTGCAGACAGTATTTCCTCAAGCAGGCCAGGGGCAGGCAGGCTTTCCTGCCAGAACACTCAGAAAGCTGCAGGGTCTGGGGGCAGGACGGGTGGATGCGGGAGCAGACTCAGACCAGCAAGAGATGGGGGTCAGGAGAGTCCAGGACTGGGCTAGCCAGCCTGTGTCCAGCCAGCGACCCAGCACAGTGACCTGAAGACTTGGCCACTGTATGGGGCTAGAGACAGCATCTCCATGGACAACAACTTCTTAGCCACGGAAAGTGTCATTTTGAATGAGAACATCTGTCTTTTACAAAAATAGAATGTGTCTTTTCAGGTGGCCAGTATCTGGGAGGGCTGAGCTCCTTTTGTAAACAATGAAGTGGAGGATGGGTCTTTGGAGGTGGATGGAGCATTTGCCTGGGAGCTTGGAAACAGTTTGTGTCTCACCAGGTGTTTGCAGCGGGGGGCCTCCAGCCTCCTGTGGATTCACAGGGAACACACCCATCTTATTAGCACACTGCAAGCACTTGGATGATTTTCCTGGATGGGACCAGCCTTCCAGTGTGTTCCACAGACGTCAGGACCCCTCTGTGGGGTGCTTTCGCATGGGCTGAACCCTGTGTACCCCAATGGGCAAAGGAGGAACTTGCATGGCTCTGCTGAGGAGGGGGCAAGTCTAGTGATGACCCAAGGGATAGGACAAGCCAGATACCTCTGCGAGAGCTTAGTTCCACCCTCCCACTCCTGTGTAATGAGCTGGCCACTGGCCACATGTGGCTACTAAGCACTTGGCATGTCACTAGTCCAAATTGAGAAAAAGACACACCAAATTTTGATGATTTAGTACAAAAAAAGAATGTACAATATCTCATTAATAATTATTTTACTGAAATGACAGTATTTTGGATATATTGGGTTAAATAAAATCTATTATTAAAACTAATTTTACCTGTTTTACATTCTTTTACTATAGCTACTAGAACATTTACAAGTACATATGTGACTCATATTATATTTTTTATATTTCTATTGGACAGTGCTAGTAAGAGACCAGTGCTTCAGCAAAGGGGCTTACAGGCAGCCTGTCTTTGAAATCCAGGATTTCTCATAAATGTTTGTTTTAAGTCAATGGTTCTCAACCAGGAGCAATTTGCCCCACTAGAGAACATTTGGCATTGTTTGGAGTATTTTTGGTTATTCCAACTGAGGGGTGCTACTGGCATCTAGTGCGTATAGGCCAGCCATACAGCCCTCTTCCAGTCCTCAGTGTTCCATGAGGCTTCCACCATAGGGCTTTTGCACATCGTTCTTTCCCCTGAAATGCCTCCCACATTCACATGTGCGCACATGCATGCCTGTATGTGTGTGCACATGCGTTCATGCATACAAACATACACACACACCTTAATTCCTATTCACCCTCCAGTTATAGTATAGTTCAAGTGTTGCCAGCCAGGGAAGTCTTCCCACACACCCCAGTCCAGGCTGGATCCTCTGCTCCATCTCTCCTTTTCTTTATGGTATTTACCATAGGTTGCAGTTGTATACTCCTGAGTGTGACTGATTGGTGAATATCTGTCACTTGCATTGCTCCATGAGCTTCGTGAAAGCAGGAACCATTTCTGTTCGGGGACATCATTATACCCCCAATGCCAGGTACCTGGTGGACACTCAACCTGTGTTTTTTGAGTGAGTGGATGAATAGCTGGATAGAGGAGAAAGCATTTGCCTGGGTGGCTGGAGCACTGTCTCTACCCAAGCTGGCCCGGTACTTAGGAAATTTGGCCTCATCTTTCACTGACTCATATGTTGCAAATATTTTCCCAATTTGTTGCTTGCCCTTTATTTTTATATTAGAGTGGGTTTTTTTTCTAGATGTACCTGTTTTTAACTCGTATATATTTTCCTTTTAGAATTTCTGTCTTTGTTTGCAATATTTCAAAATAAAATTGTTGATGCTATTAAGGAGGCTCCTTCTTTTAAAGGAAATCATCAGACTGATGGGCCAAGTTATAGGAGCTTTAACCATCTCCTGTAGCAGGAGTGTCAATGTCTCAGGAGCCTTGATGAATGTTCAGAGCCTGGTCAATACTTTGGGGGTGGGGAGAGAAAGCTCTATTAATATGATGAAGTACCTTCAATGGCCTTATTCTTGTGATTGTCCCACAAGAAAGTAAACCAACATTTATTGTGCACCCATGCTCCAGGCACTTTTGTTGTACCTCATTTAATTCTCATGACTACACTATAATGTGATATCATTGTTACCATTTTGACAGATGTAGAAGAATCATGGTCGCCCAGCCAATAAATGTGGGATCTAAATTTGTCTGTCCAATGCTAAGGCCTCTGCCTTCTCTCTAACCCAACACTATCTGAAGACCTCTGCACCTGGCCCTGTACATCTCCATGAGAGCTGTAGATTATTTCAGTGATAAAATGCAATGATATTTTTAAGAAGGTGCATCTAAACACATGGAGATTAGATCTAGACAACTCATAGAATGTTTGAGGTTGGATTATTGATACCTAGCAGAAAACTAAGCAAATAAAAAACAAGGCAATTATGAACTCCACAGAAAACAAAAGTGATTCATGAAAGAAAAATTATTATCATATATAACATACCTCAAGTGGGACTAGCAATTAAACGGTGCTAATAATGGAAATTCTGTTGTTAATCTAACCAAAATTTTAATATAACTAATTGGGAGGGTGGAGTGGGTGCTTATGGATGGTGGGGGGAAAGGGTGTAAAAGAAACAAAATCTTCATCTTCTATAGTAAGAAGTTAATAAATAACACTTAAAAGGAAAAAATCAAGAAGTGGTAATAAATAAATACTATCTGGAAACATAGAAGTAATACCAAAAGAACCAATGACAAATGTTGAAAGTGGCTGCCTCTGTGGGGTGGGGAATGGAAGTAAAGGGATAGGACACTCCTGGGTTTTGCCCCAAGGCTGCAGGACTACTTGAAAAGTGGTTAGGGAATCACAGCCCAGAGGTCAACTGACCTCATACCTGCTCAGACTGGGGGATCCTTCAGAGCCCTGGAAGATTCTGCCCTTCAGGGACACTCATAGGGTTAGCAGGCCTCCTGGGATTGCTTAGTTATGAATGTTGTGGCTCCCAGGATGTGCCCTTGGCGATGCTGTGATGCCCCTGCCCAGGTTTGTCAGGTACCATGATGGCTCCCTATGACTCTCACCACCTTCATGGCTCTGAGAGTGAAGCAGCTAAGGAACAGTCACCTAATTAGGTGACACAGCATCTGGCTTTGCCTGATTCAGAGAGAGGACAGAGGTCTAGCAGAATGGTCAGTAAGATATGCTGAAGAAGGGGCGTATTAGAACTGCTCATGGAAGGGTGCATCCAGGCTGTGGGCTGGAGCTTAGCCAGGGACTAGAGGCCTCAGAAGAGCCTGCTCTGGAGAAGGAGGACCAAAGGGAATCACCCAGCAGTCTCTACTTCCAGGCCAGGCCCTGGCACCACTGTTTGTAGCTGATAACCTTCCGTGACAGCAGAGGTGCCCAAGCCTGGACATCCTCTGCCACTAGCCAGGTACTCCACCCCATGGAGAGAACCAAGCTGTCTCTTGTCAGTCCATTCTAAAAATTTGCTCAGAAGTGAAATGAAGTTGCAGAGGCCCTCAGATCAGCAAAGGGTCCAGGACAAACCCTGGGGAACCTGATTCGAGGAAATAAAAGTTTGCAATTTGGGGATCTTTGAACAAGAGTGGCCTCAAATCACACTGCAGCCTGATTTTTTTTTTTTTTGAATACTCCTCTGGGATTTTCATTGTTTATTTCTAAAATTTTTAACATTTTCTTATTGAGGCATAATTTACAGAGTAAAATGCACAAATCTTAAGTGTTCTCTCAGTGACCAGCCTGAAGATCAAGATATAAAGCATTTTCCTTAAGCCCAGAAAGTTTTCTCCTGTGTCTTCCCAGTCACCCTGGCTCGTCTCCCAACCAGAGTGACACTTTTCTGATTTCTAGCACCCTAGAGTGATCTCACCTATTCTTCAATTTTATATAAATGCAATCAAGGATATGACTTTCCACTGTTAATACATTAAAGGCCACAAACAGTCCTTCCACTTTCCTCTTTAAGGAAGGAAGGAAAGTGAGAGAATCTCTGTTGAGTGTTTAGAATGTGCCAGATGCAAGCTGGACCTTCCATTACATGCAAATGTCCTATTTTAATCTTTACACCAACTCTGTGAGACAAGGGAGAAAACAGAGGCAGAATAATATAAGTAAAATGCTCAAAATTGCACCACTAATAAGAGCAGAAGCAGCTTAAACACAAGACTCTGAGATCTGAGAAGCCTCCCTCCCAAATCTAGTGCTGCACAGAGGCAGATGGAGGCTGACGTGTCACTGAACAGCTCATGCCCCCAGGGATGCCAGCAATACAAAGCTGTCAGATCCTGTCCAACCCTCACAAGCACCTGTCTCCATGGCAGGTACGCACAATGCCATCACTAGGTGCAGGGGCCAAAATGAAAGGTGGAGACAGGCCACCCACTCTGTGCTGGCCTGTCCCAGATTTGTTCCCCTGAAAGTCAGCCTGGCCAAGCAGCAGGCTAGTGGGAAAGGGGAGGGGGAACTGATGGGCCACAGAGCAGTGGGCACCCTGTGGAGTTAGCCCTCACCAGTGGTGCCAGGTGTTGGCCATGGATACAAAGGTGTGTGGTGGGCTCAGATGGGCCTGGCCCCTGCCACCTGGTGATGTTGAGGAATCCCAGATTTGGCTGCTATTTTACTTCAACTCCCATATTTCTGGGAAAAAAGATTGGCTATTCCAAACACTGCAGGCTCGGGTAGCTTCCCCTCCCTGCTCACATGAGGAGTCAGAACTGATTTAACTCTTCATGCACTTACCAAGTGCTTAATAATCGCAACAACCACACTAATGACTGTTGAGCTCATGGGACATGCTGTCAAGCAAGCACAGCACATGAAATGACTTTACTTGTGTCCTCCAGTGTCCCCACGTGGCAGTCCCTGGGTTAACTCTGGGCATGCCTGGATAGAGGTGCCCCAGGGTCACTTTTGTTTGCAACATATAAGACCAGGTCAACATTTCTCGGTCCATGGTAGCAGGCTTTGACCTACCTCTTTGAAAGCATGCTTCCTGGTTTGTCCCTCACTTTAGAATGTCACATCCCGTGTGGCTTGGAGCCCTGTTGGAACTTCCTGCTTGAAGTCCTATTGCACCTAGCATGTGCAGTCACATGCATTATCTCCCTTCATCCTCAAAAGATTCCCATTGAGAAAAAGACCACTATTGCCCCATTTTTCGGATAAGGAAATTGAGTCCCAGAAAGGATAAAGAACTTGCCAGCCAGGAAGGGTACCCAACCAGGAAGGGGCACTGCTGGGATCAAGAACCCAAAGGCTTCTGAACATATAGTGCGTGCCTTCACATTTACATGCCAGGCTTGGATCCAGGCAGCAAGAGAGGAAAGCTGCCCCAGGTTGTGAAAGCCTCTGTGCTAAGGCCCAGAGGTGGCAACCTGGGGCAAGCGGTGTGCCCCTGTGGTGGCTGCAATGCAGGAAGGCAGTGGGAGGACAAGGTGATGTGAGGGAATGAGCCTGTCCCACATCCAGGCAGGGTTTTAGACAATGGAGTGGCGTGCCTGTCTGGAGCCTTAGTCAATGATGCAGGCTGCAGTGGGGGCAGCAGGTGCGCAGGGAGTGGCCCTGAGGGCAGGGAGAGAGGGTAAATGCTAGTGGGAGCAATGGTGTTTCCCGTCTGCCACCTGCAGAGAAGGAGAGGGAGACACAGGGGCCTTTGTTGAAACAGATCTATGGAGAGCTGGGTTCCTCTGCTTCCAGACACTCTTCCCCCAGTGCCAGCTGTGTGCTGGGCAGCAGCTGGCACCTCCCCGCCCTGCAGAGTTTGTAAGTACCAGAGTGTTTCAGCACCACAAGCTGAGAACAAACACTCCCAGCCACCACCCTCCACCCAGCCCTTAGGCCACCAGTCCATCTGTTGCTGCCTGAGGTTCATGCCAGGAGATGAAGGTGGCTGTTTGTACCCAGAAGAGGGGCGCTGCAAACTCAAGCCTCTTCCCCCACCAACCCTCATGTTCTCCTTCTTCCCAGATAACTCCAACCAACTGATGGGAAAACAGAGTTTCTCTTCCCACGGAAGATGTTAGACATCCATAAGTGCCCCCACCTGACCAGTGCTCTTAGACACTCAGAACACACAGTGCTGCTAGGTGCTGGGCTGGAGCAGCTCCAAGCTGGTCTTGTAGCCCCAGACAGCTGGAGAACTGGCCATGACCTTATTGTTTGAAGGAGGGGATAAATGATTTATTTGCAAGACAGGCCTGAACTGAGTTAGGCGTGGGCCAGGAGGCCACCTTGGACTCCACTATCCAAGGCAGCAAGGTAGTCAGGATCCTGCCCTGACTCTGCTGAAATCCTCACCAGCCCCAGTGATTACTTAACCAAGGGTAGAGAATATATTGATCTAAGCTAATGGCTCATAGGCAGGCAGAAAATGAAATTTATAATCGACATGGAATTATATTGATTTTACCGATCCCAGGCTCTTGGTGAATGGCCTGCTTATCTGAACAGAGCAGAAACAGCAAGCACCTGGGGTCCTGGGCCATCAGCCCCTGAACAAAGTCCAGAAGAGAGGAGAGAGGCTTCCAAGGGGCACAGCCTGCGGGAGCAAGAAACAGGGCCTACACTGTTCACTCAGCACTTAACTGCTCTCAAAGAAAATTGCCCATTGATTTCATCCTCACCACAGTCTAGGAAGCAGCAGGATCCGTATCTGGCCCCCATTTATAGACAGAAACCTGAGGCTCTAAGAGGCTAAAGGGCCTCGGGACTCAGAATCCTGTGCATCTTCCATGACCTCCCACTGCCTCTCCTCACCCACTGCTAAGCTACAGTTTCACTTTTCCACTCTCCTGCTTGCTGCTTCTCTGATTATGGGCAGAGAATCAGTAATCTCATGCCCTTTAGCTTTTCATGTGTGGAAACAGGCCGTGGGTAGGAGAATCCTGTTGGCAGATTTCTTCCAACCCAAGCAGATCATCTACAGAGGCACAAAGTCTCTTGGATTTGATGAGTTCCCATCCTCTTCAAACTTGAGGATTCCTGCCTCACATTCGCAGACATGAGACACATGTTTATGAAGGAGAGGTGCATGTCCAGCCAGAGGTGTCAGCAAGGTCCCAGGGGCAGCATAAGGGATGGAAGTCAATCATTCTGCGTTGAGAGCCTACCAGAGGGGTCTTCATACCTTAGGAAGTAATTGCACTGACACTGATGCTTCAAAAGTGAGTCAGGATTCACCAGCAGAGTCATGAGTCCAGGGAAAGGGAAAGGCAGACATACAGGGGTGGAGGTGTGGCACAATGGCCCATGCGGGACCTGTCAGCTTGGAGAGACCCAGGTGTGTGGTGTGAGAGGGAGGAAGCTGGGCACCAGCTCACAGAGGCCCTCCACATCACAGCCACATCAGACCCATGTCTCTGATGGCTAAGGCTGTAGCGAAAACTGTCTACACCCTGTAAAGGGGGCACGGTCTCTTCCAAGGAGCCACGAGAGAGACACCAGAATGGGTTGAAGGCAGAAGTTGGAAGAGGTCCAACAGGCTGCTTTTTCTCAGAGGGTGGGTTTTCATTAGTCTGGCAAGGGCTTAGGGTATGGTCTCTCCTAAGACAGGAATGTGGGTCCTATGAGAGTCAGGGTGAAAAGCCTGGAAGTGGAGCCATACTTCCTGGTCTGGACTCACCCTCTCACTTTCTGCATCTTCCTGTTCCCGTGCTGGGCACACTCCACCTCTCAGTGAGGCTCACCTCATTCATTCATCCCTCCTCACCTCACCCCGGCTCCCTGCCCCCTCCAGCCAGCCCCACCCCAAGCCCGACTGTCTCACTGCTGCTGCCTTCACACTCCCCTCTCCCTTTATAGATGACAGCAAGATCTGGTGTTGGGGCATCTGTCCCCCGTTAGCTCTGCCAGGGCAGGTGTGTGTCTTGCGTCTCCATATGCAGTGGCTCTCACAGGTGGGCATACGGGAGGCCCCATAATCTCAAGAATGGATAAATGAACACCAGATCCGCTTGAATCTAGGGCTGCATCCTGCATGGAAGTAAAGAGCAAACACTTCGGGTGTCTCCCGGCTTCCCACTGCCCTTGCTGAATACCAGCCTCAGCTGAGCCAGGAGGCAGACCCAGGAAGCATTGATTAAAATAACTTTCAAGAATGCAATCTTTTATATTGATTGTTAAATCATTAAAGTATTCACTATGAAAAAAAAATCCAAACTCTCTAATCTACCTAATCACTACTTAAAAATTAATATTTTCACTCCTGGGGGCAGGAATGGATAGGCTGTGCACCTTATTGGCTCTAGTTCTTCATGCCGAGGCGAGGCTCATTAGGAGGGCCTGGCTCATTCTCTAGATCCCCTTAGATGGAAACCTAGGAACAAACAGGTGGCCAATTAGGGCCAGGAAGAATGCAAGTCACAAATTAAGCTGGGTGTAGTAGCTCATGCCTGTAATTCCAGAAGCCGAGGCAGGAGGATTACTTGAGGCCAGGAGGTTGAGACCAGCCTGGGCAACATAGCAAGACCCCATCTTTACAAAAAAAAAATTAGCCAGGCATAGTCATACACACCTGTAATCTCAGCTACTCAGAAGGCTGAGGTGGGAGAATCATCTGAACCTAAGAGTTTGAGCCTGCAGTGAGCTATGATCATGCCACTGCACTCCAGCCTAGGTGATACAGCAAGACTCTATCTCAAAAAAAAATAAACAAATAAAACTATACACATATATATAAACAAGTTTTTAAAAGTAGGGGCACTCAAGAACCATTAGGTAATAAATCATCTGATGCTTGTGCACAATTCCCAGGACGGTGTGGGACCCGGAAGGAGGTCCCCTTTGCCCTTGGCAGCAAATTGCATTAACTTGATGAAACCATCTCTTCCCGGCCCCTCCAGAGTGCCCTTCCAATACCCCATCTCTCTCTCCTCAATCAATCTTTTGGCTCAATACTTACCCTTTAAATCAATTCAGCTCTGAGATCCATTTTGCTCTTTTCCCAGCCCGGCTTTAAAATCTCATTGACTTCTATAAATCAATTGTGTTTTAGCTCTCTTGTCCTACAGCCACTTCTCCATGCTCTAGGGGCTGCACTCACAGAGCTGCAGATAGGAAACATCCCTGGCCCACGGCAGGGTGCCTCACCCCAGGGAGTATCTCCAGAGCTGAGAGCCCAGCAGCTGCTCAAAGGCACAAGTCTATTCAAAGGCTGCCACAGTCTATTCAAAAGGTCCTGAAAACAATGAATATGTTCAGTGGGGATCTCCAAACCAAAGCAGACCCTGAGATAAGGATTCACATGCAGTAATCTATTAACGAGACCCTCAGGGGACACAGTTGGGGGGGAGGGGGAGGGGGATCCGAAAGCAGGACATGAGCAAAGTCCTGTTACCCTTTCAGATGTAACAGGAAAGGGAGGTCTCAGCCTGAGCCCCCAACTGAAGAGTGAAGTACACCCCTGTACCTAGCTAGAAATAAGGTTGGTTAGAGGTTTTTAAGCTCCTAAGTTGGGCGAGGGGTGGATGATATAAACTCCTAGGCACTCCCAGTCTTCCCAGTACATGGGCAAAACAGGCTCCAGTAGCCCAAGGCCGGTCTTCCAAAACCTGTCAGCAATCCTGAGAAACCACCACCCACCCCTGGGAAGACTGTTGGAAGGACAGCACATTTGGGGGTGGGGAGGGAAATAGACACAGGAAAAGGGATTCAAGAGAATTTGGGCAGAGCTCCATCATGATCCATATGATCTCAGAGAGCAATGTCTGAGCTTTGGCAGCTGCCAGGTGCTCTTGTCAGTGCAGGGCTCGGCCCATGAGTGATCCACACACCCTCACTGAGCCCCTGGTTGGCAAGAGAGAGACGGGGTGGAGGAGGCAGGCTGGAGTCCCAGGCTCACCCAAGCAGCTCACCTGCAGAGAGGGACCAGTGTGCTCACTCACAGTTCCCTGATGGTGGTCCCATGGGAGGACCACAGATAGGCTTGGTCCAGGCTTCCACCAGCATCCTGGCCTGTTCGTTGTGGGCTGATCGGTGTTAGTCTCTCCCACTAGCTTGGGAGCTCCATGCAGGCAGAGGCTCTGACCTTCTTGCTTGCTGTGGTCCAGAGCCTAGTGTGATGCTTGTCTCAGATAAATACTCATAAGCATGTATCAAATAATGATCCTTTAATTGCTATTTTAGAACTCCTGTAAGGGGATCCAGCTCCACTCCAAAAGAGCTCTTTCATTTAAAACTTTTAATTGTAATTTATATAATAAAAAAATTCATTCCCTTCATGAAATGTACAATATAACAGCTCCGGGCTTCCCTTTAGGAACATTATCACCATTCTAGGTGGGATATGTTCCTTCCAGACCTAACTGTGTACAAACACGAGCACCCGCTGAGAATACATTGCAATGTCTTTTGTTTAGGATTTTTGTTTTTCTTTCCTTTTTATATAAAGTGGTTCCCCATATCCACAGTATCGTGTTTGCAGTTTCAGTTACCCATGGACACCCACAGTCCAGAAATAAACGATTCATAAGTTTTAAATTGTATGCTGTTCTGAGTAGCGTGGTGTCCCACTCTATCTTGCCCAGCACATGAATCCTCTCTTTGTCCAGCATCTTCACACTGTCTAAGCTACCTGCCTGTGGTCACTTAGTAGCCATCTCAGCTGTCAGATGCACTGTCGCTGTATCACAGTGTTTGTCTTCCAGTAACCCTTACTTTACTTAATAATGGCTCCAGAGCACAAAAGTGTGGTGCCAATTTAGTAATTAAACTTTGTCATAGATATGTATGTATAGGAAAAACTGTATACAGGGTTCAGTACTACCTGCAGTTTCAGGCATCCTCAGGGGTCTGGGAACATCCACTGGGGGTCTAAGAATATATCCCTGGCTTGAATAAGGGGAGACTACTGTAGTTTTATATTTTGTAAATTGTTCTGCAACTTACTTTCTTCCACTTCTATAATATAATTGAAGTAAATGTTGAGGTAAAGCAGGAAGGAGAAATGGAGCAGTGGGGGAAGCAGTTTCTAAAGAGTGATAAGAGAGGTGTCGTTGAAAAAGTAATGTTTCAGTAAAGAGTGAAGGGGCTGAGAGAGGAACCCTAGGGCATCCGGGAGGGCCCAGAGAGCAGAGGGCATATGGCAGGTGTAGAGCCAGATGCTGGGCACATGTCTGTAGGAACAGCAGGAGACAGTGCGGCCAGGACAAGAGAGGATAAAGGAGGCCGAGAGGCCGTGTGGCCGGTCCCCAGGACCCTCATAGGCCATAGTGTCAGATCTGACTGTTGCTCTGAGCGAGCTCAGGAACCTGCAGGGTTTTCACAGGGCGCAATGTGATCTAAGTCCCACATTTAAGAACTCTTGCTGGCTGCCCTCTTTTGAAGAGGCTGCAGCAGTAACTCGGGTGAGAAACAAAGCAGCTGGGAGCAGGGAATATCTGAGGATGGGGTATCCACTGGCTGAGATGGGGGAACCCTGGGAGGAGTGGGTTCTGGGGCAGGGAAAGACCAGGAGTTCTGCTTTGGACATGCAGCATTGGCAGGGTCAAGGCCAGGGTTGAGCCACATGAGGGCCTTCTGTGCATGGATGGTGTCCAAACCCATGAGGCAGAGATATAGACAGACATGGGGGCCAAGGACTAGCCCTGCACACTCAGCACTGAGAGGTCAGGAAGACGGGGAGATGGGAGTGACAGCCGGTGAGGGAGGGGAGAAGCGGGGGAGTATAATCTTGGAACCCAGGAGTACAAAGTGGTCCTGGGACTGGGATGGATCAGCCTCACAATCAAGTGTAGCCAAAGGGCCAAAGAATGGGAGGACTGACTGGACGCTTGGGTTGAACAATGTGAGAGTCATTGCCAACGTGGTAAGAGCAGTTCTGGTGGGACGGATGTTGGGGAAGCCTGACTGAAGCTTAACAGAGAACAGAAGCCAGGTGCGGTGACAGATACCCGTAGCCCCACCACTTGGGAAGCTGAGGATTGCTTGAGCCCAGGAGTTCGAGTCTAGCCTAGGCAATGTAGTGGTGAGACTCTGTCTAAAAGAGAGAGTGAGAGAAAACAAGGCAGGAATTGGAGACAAGGATTGAAGACAGTGAGGTGCTGGATAAAAGAGAAGCTAACCATGTTAGCTTGTATATTTTGATCTCATTCTTTTCAAGTCTTTTCTAATGTGAATATAGCACAGTTTGTCCATTTTCTTACTAACGGGCACTCAGGTTTTTACATTTTTAGATATCAATGGGCATGCTTGATTGTGACTACCCATGCATTTGTAGTTCTCTCTGCAGGACAGAGGTGAGCAGCACAATTGTTAGATTGCAGAGCATGCATGTTTTGTTGTTGTTGTTGTTGTTTTGGGGTTTTTTTTAGACAGGGTCTTGCTCTATTGTCCAAGCTGGAGTGCAGTGATGCAATCTCGACTCACTGCAACCTCTGCCTCCCAGGCTCAAGGAATCCTCCCACCTCAGCCTCCTGAATAGCTGGGACCACAGGGGCACACCACCATGCCCAGCAAATTTTTGTATTTTTTGTAGATATGAGGTTTCGCCATGTTGCCCAGGATGCACGTTTTTAATTTTAATGAATACAGCCCAATTACTCTCTATATGTGACTTAGGATTACTCACAGCCTCGCCAACATGTGATATCGCCAAACTTTAAAAAAAAAGTACCTATCTAAATGGTACACAGTGCGGTATCTTATGGCTGTAGTCTGCATTTCCCCTCTCACTGCTGAAGTTCAGCATACCCATACATGCTGGTAGTTATTAGTATTTCCTCTCTCTCCCATTGCATATTCACTTCTTTAATTTATTCAATTCTGAGAAATGAAGGATCCCTCCTGGATGAGAAAATGGCGTGAAATGGTTCCTCCTCTGCTGGCCCTGTGCCTCGGGGTGACTTCGCGTTGCACAGTCCTTCTGCTCTCCTCTAACGATGAATGAACCTTTGGGTACTTGAATTCCATTTGCCTACACCCAGGGTTTTGACCTCTTGTGTTTGTGTTAACGTGTTTTCATCTCAGGCTTCATTTCTTTTTGAGTCTGCGGGCTCGCAGTCACCCTCCCTCTTAGCCTGGCGCTCCTCCTCTCTGGAGGCTCTGAGCTGAAGCACTTAAGGGCTACTCAGGCTCCATTTGCAGTCTCAGAACTGTAGTGTCCATAGTGAGCAAGACCAGCCAGGGCTTGAATCCCGGCTCTGCCACATAAGAGCAATGTTGTGTGACCTTGAGGAAGCTCTTCTCTCCTCTGAGCCTCAATTCGAACATCTGAGAAATCAGGGTTGCGCTGAGAAATAAGTGAAATTATTCACTGCCGGGCCCTAGCTCTGGCAGTCACAGGCTCTTGTGAACGTCCATCCCTTCCACTGCCCACCCACCCCAGCCCTACCCTGCCCATGCGCTGAATTTCTTCTTTCTCTCATCTCACCCCAAGAGGAAGCAATACCCCCATGACCACCTCCAGAGTCCCCAGGACGGCCAGGCCAGAGTCATAGAGCAAGCGCCAAGTTTACCATCCTCAGTGACTGGGAAGGCGTGCAGCCCACGTCCTCCCTCACAGGCCAGATGGCCCGGCACAGCGCGACCTGTAGTCCTGACCAGGCCACTCAAGGGTTTATGGGCACCCTGGCACAAATGCAGCTCAGGGCTGCAGCAATATAGAGGCATGGGATGGGGACGTTGTCAGAATGAGCACAAGGAGGGCTATGGGGAACAGGTAGACTCTCCAATCCCAGCAGGTAGGGCCTCAGCTGGTGGGGCACTTCCGAGCAGAGGAAGGCCTCATTCTTGCTACAGGGCACCTCCTTGCCCCCACCACAACCGAGGACAGTGTCTTGCCATCTCATGCTAACCTCTGACCCCCTGAGCTCAGGCTCCACATCCTGTCACCTCCCAGGAAGCTCCCTCTTGACTCATCACCCTACCTGACCCTCACCCACAGCCTCCACATCTGCCAGTCCAAATGCACTTAAACCGGCTCGGGTCCCTCCCGTTCTAGCAAGGGGCACCCTGCCCCTCCATACCACTCTCCCCTCTTCTCTCCTGCTTGCAGGGAACATTCCTGAAAGAGTTCTCTAGGCTTCTTTGCTGTACTCCCCCTCCTGTCACCCCTACCCTCTCTCTGTAAAGTGGCCCTTGTGTACCCTCACCCCTCCACCCATGACACTGCGACCTTAACTCTCTTCCCTTGGCGTGGTTTACCTGCTTTTGAAAATTTTGTTTATAATTGACACATAATAATTGTACATGCCCGTGGGGTGCAGTGTGGAGGGAGCTACACACAGGAAAATCCTGTGCTGTGGAAGGGTAGCGATTGCCAGGCTGGGGCTGGATTTTCCTCTGTGTGTAGTAAATACCATAACTACTTCTGTGAAAAGAGTAAGATTTTTTAGAACTGTGTGTAGGAAGATCTGTGTGTAGCTCCCTTAGTAGCTGCATATCTATTTTGGAGAATCTTGTGGAAGGCAGGAGCTAAGAGTCAGGAAGTAGCCCAGGCAAGGGATGGCTATATACAAATCAGTTCAGTAAAGGGGAGATGAAAAGAAGGCAGAATGCACTGAGAGAATCTTCAGATTTGGAAACTAAGGGACTGTAGGACTTGACGGGGAGGGATTTGTCTGAACAAGTCCAAGCTGTTAAGTCTGCTTGGTCATGGAGCCCTGGATGAGAATGGGGAGGAGAAGTGGGTTGGGGAGAGACATGTTGAATTTGGACATAGGCCCAGATAACCATGAGACATTTCTCTGGAGTGTCCTGCAGATGGTTTGACACATGAGTCTGAAGCTCCTGAGTAAGATCCGGGCAGAAATAACGCCCTGGGATTCATAATGAAATAGAGACAGCTGGGACAACCCTGGGCAACAGCAGGATTTGGGAGGATGGAGGAAGTTGAAGCCAGAAGCAGGCTGGGGAAGCGGAAAGAAACTTGAGCAAAAACGCTGGTATTTGGGCTCTGCAGAGGGGAAGGAAGGAAGAGCTTCCAGAAGCAGAGGGTGATTAATAGTGTCTGAGCCACCACAGGGCATCGGAGGATGAGACCCTGAGATCCAATTCAGGTTGGATTTGGTCAGAGCAATATCAGGAGAGGCCAAAATCTCTAAATGCAAGGAGTTGGTGGGGACTGGGGGGTGAGGAAGGAGAGGCAGGTATGTGGGCCACCCTCTCAAGATGTGCCTGTCAGCAAGAGTAGGTGACAGCGGCCCCTCGGCACACGCAGTCATGTGAGCCAAAAGATTGCAAGTGCCAGGCTAGCTTCTTCCTCCCAAGCCTGAGCCCCACCTCCCCTGAGGTCATCCCACACTCTAGTATCCTTCGAGGCCTGGCCTGGGGCCTCCCTCCACGGGGTGGAGGGACCTCAGCAGAGGTCTATAGCAGAAAGGTCGGCACCTCAGGGTCAGCATCCACAGCCTTTGCCTGCCCCACAAGGCCTGTGCTCTTTCATCCCTCCGTGGTGGTTGTGATTTACTTCCCCTGCCAGACTGCGGGACCCCACAGGGAACACCATCAAGTCAATTGGGCTCTGTACCTGGAGGAGCTCCATAGATTTGGAATAAATGGATGAGTGAATGGATGGTCCTGCGTGTGCATGGAAGAGCCACCTTTGGGAAGGGTGGAGGGTGAAGGGCACCTTCCTCCTCTCTGGGCCCTGAGCTTGCCTGGGCCTGCTCCTGGGGACCCTCCAGAAACTCTGATCTGTTCTGGAGACTTAGAATGCCAGAGCTGTTTGACTTGAGGCCTGGTTTAAATATTAACAGGACCAAATAAATTGATTAAAGGAAGTGCTGAAGACCGGAACAGCAGTTATTAATAAATCATAGCAATGATTATTTTCCTTTCAAGAAGCTCCATCAGCCTAATATGTGTGTGATTGATCAGCTGGGGAAAATCCTAGGCTGGTTTTGCAGCTTCAGTAGCATCTGCAGGAAGTGCTTCCTTGTCAGAGGGACTGGAGCCAGCCTTTCCTATCCTGCAGGGTGGGGCAGGTGGAACCCTCGGGGATGCCTACATCTACTGAAGTAGAGACCACCCAGAGCTTCCTGCCTACCCTTGCCCCAGTGAACATGGCCCCCCATACCTGCTCCCTCCTTACGTGAAGCTCTCAGGAGGCCTGATGCCTGGGCCTTGGGCATCAGGGCACAGAATGTGCCCACCTTCTTTGTCTTGCCACATTGACTACAGGCCAGTCCCACAGTCAGCCATGTATTGATTGTGCAAGATCCTGCTCTCAGCCAGGCTCAGCATCCATGGTCCTATGCACAGGGAGCTCACCCTTCTTGGGGCAGGCATGCCTGGACAGAGAGCACCTCACAGACATTGTCCACCGCTGGGACAGAGGGTGCAGCAGTGCTCAGAGGAGCTGGACTGTGCTGATGAGTTACCGAGTTTTTGTTGAGCTCCTAATGTGCACCAGCCCTGCACAGGATGCTATGGGGGATGTGGAAAGAAGAGCAAGTGCATTTAATGAACCAGCTTCAGGCCTTGTTGTAATAGAAGACAAGAGACAGAATCAGGGATGTAGCTCTAGAACATTCCATGACTTCAGTCCCCACTAAAGACCCCAAAGAGTACTCTGCAAACATCTGTGGAAGGACAAAATGTTCTCCATAGCCCTTGAAGATTCTCTGATAAGAGATAAAGGAGAATTCAAGAATAGACAGTGGAGACCTAAGCCAACCCATCAGCTCCAGAGACTCCTCACTGCCAGGGGAAACAACATCTGCCAAGTCTCATGGTAGGAATCTCACTTGATTAAACAAAAAAAAGCCCAGGCACTGGTGACCTAATTTGACTAGCAATTCTCAACCCATTGAAGGAATTTTAGAGATGAGCAAGTTGAGACCCAGATAAGAAAACTCAGTAATCAAAGGGGCACACCTCTCCCTGTCCTCCTTAGTCCCCTGCCAGACTCCTCTCGAGCCCAGGGGTCCTGATAACACTTGTCAGCTCCACCTCCCAGGGCCTGATGCAGCCCCAACCCTGGAAAGGGACTGGTGAGTGCTGCTGAATCCAGCCCTGCTCAACCCCTTGCTGGCTTGAGATGGAGAAGGGGAGGCAGCAGCCCTGGAGCAGAAAGGCCCCTTCTGATGCTTTGGGTCTCTTCTGGCACAACCCCACCTGTCTTATCAGAGGCTCGGCTCACCCTTATCTGGGCAGGGTGGTTTCTTCCAAGTCTGTGTCCTCCACACGGGGCTGCTGAGGTTGCAGAGCAGCCAGGGCTGTGCAGCACAGATGCGGGATAGGGTGCTACAGGTGTCTGGAAATACAGGTGTCTGGAAATTCCAGGCTGTAGGAAGACTTGCAGGGAAGGTCTGGGGCTCCTATGGAGAGGGAAAGGGGGCCCAGTAGCTCTGGGTCTCCAGGACTCCAGGATTGTATGCCACTGAGTTTGACTCAGTGCTCCTCCTGCTGTGGGCAATCAGCTAAATGGGCAAATGGAGCGAGCAGACGTCTCATACAATTGGTAGAAGCCCGTGCAAAGATGTTCCAGTTGATTAATCACCCAAAATCAGAACAGCTAAGACAATAACTACGTGCCATTTTATACCTACTAAATTATGGAGTAGGAACGCTCAAATTATACTATTTTATGTTGGTAGTGATGGGGAAAGTGGCACATTGGCATAATTGTTTGGTGTAATACAGCCAAATGCCATCTCTAGAAGGCAGTGTATAGTGACATTTAAAGGGCCAGGGGCCAGAGAGTGGTCCATTCTCTGCCCTGTGACCTCACTGCTGGGAGCCCAGCTTTAGGAAACAAATTCTGCATGGAGACATCCACTGCGCCATCTCCATTATCCTAATCCTTATCACCATAGTAACCCATTACTAGGCACCTGTACGTCTAAGCACTCTGCAGTTATGCTGTCTCCCCTCTGCCAGCTTGCCCTGCTGGGTGAGGTGTTGTTATCTCATATGGGCCCAGTTTTCTGACTGGCAAACTGAGGCACAGAGAGTTCACAGAGCTGGCAGTGATGCAAACTCAAACCTTAGTCCAAAGCCTGTATTTCTTCAGTTGGGTCCCAACGTCTTTTTAATTAAATAACTCACATTAAGGAGAGTGCCAATACCCATCAATGTGAGAATCTAAAAGCAATGTACGGTGTGTCCATTTGCAGGGATAATAACCAGCCATAGATATAAAGGAGGGAAGCACACTCTAAATCCACATGAACAAGTGCAGGGACCAACCCCACAGAGAGGAGGGAAAAAAAGTGCCGATCATTCTGAAACACAGATAAGGTGAAGCTCAAGCCCAGTTTCAGGGCGCTGTTGGGCTTCAGAGGGGGCTGTTTTCCTTGAAAGTCCTGGGCCATGTGATCCACACTCAGCTCCCTGATTTGCCTTCCCGTTAGTCTCTGGAAAAAACCCACTGTCCTGAGGAATCACCAATCCAGCTTCAGTGTTCAGGGGCAAGCATGCAAACAACCCACTTCCTCTCTGGGCCAAAACACAGCCAAGGCAAGGCTAGAGCATTCAACCCCAACCTCTCCAGCAGCAGAGGGACAGCAACAGAGAATCAAGGTGGAGCGGGTGAGGACCTAGACAGTCTGACACCAGGGTGGCTAGTGGTACCCATAGATCTATCACAGCTGCTTGGGTGCCAGAGAGAAGAGATGAGGCCTCCTGTGAATGCTGCTGTTGTCCATGAGCAGCAGCCTGTCTGGAGGGGACAACCCCTTCCAGAGCAGGGGCCTGTGTAAAAGTGATAGATTCAGTATTATACCCCAGGCCATATGACAGTTGAGGTGAAGGTGTGAACATCAGTGTTGGAGTGATTGGACCCAATACCAGGCTGTGGGAGCGATGAAGTCCAGCAGAGTCAAAGGAATGAGAAAAGACAAGTTAAGAGAGAAAGTGGGATCAGGGGGCCAATGTTAGTATGGAGGCCGTGAAGGCCCGGAGCTCTGGGAGCCCACACCATTTATTGGTGATCAAACAAAAAAACAGGTGGTGAGGATGTGGAGGTTGAAAGGAAGCAGTGTATCAAGCAAATGTGCTACAGCTGTGATGGTTTAGCATTTTCTTTGAAACATATGGCTACTTGAGATAATGGGAGTGCTAGAAGCAAGGAGCCAGCAAGTCTAGACACATTGCAAAGTCCACGAGGGGTTTTAGTCCCTGGACCCTGGACATGTTCCAAGCCCTGCCTCAGCTTCTCTCTCAACACTCAGCTTTTCTCCCAACACACCAAGCTATAATGTGTCCTCAGACAGTGCCTGAGTGCTATGTAATTTTTTTTTTTTTTTTGAGACTGAGTCTTGCTCTGTTGCCCAGGCTGGAGTGCAGTGGCGCAATCTCAGCTCACTGCAAGCTCCGCCTCCCGGATTCAGGCCATTCTCCTGCCTCAGCCTCCCGAGTAGCTGGGACTACAGGCTCCTGCAACCATGCCCAGCTAATTTTTTGTATTTTTAGTAGAGACAGGGTTTCGCCGTGTTAGCCAAGACGGTCTCAATCTCCTGACCTCGTGATCCGCCCGCCTTGGCCTCCCAAAGTGCTGGGATTACAGGCGTGAGCCACCGCGCCCAGCCAGTACTATGTAATATTTACTGTCATGTTAAGATACAAAAAATACCTAACAATAAGGGTGACCCTAAGTATCCAGTGATATTTGACCACCATGACTTACGTCTGTTCCTTGCCCCCCACAGTAACGAGGACACGCATGTAGAAGTGGGTAAGACATCATCTCCTCCAGTCCCCACCCTTCAGTCCAGAGTGGCAGAAAGACAACCACACAGATAATCACCAGCCATGGGCCACCTGTCCTGGTAGGGGAGGGAGTGACTATTTGGAGGAGATTCAGAAGGAAGCCTCCATGGAGGAAGTGTCCTTTGAGTTGGCTCTTGAAGGATATATAGGAGCTCACCATGCAGCTAATGCCAGGGTATGGATGGAAGAGGGATGGAAGAAAAGTCCAGGCTAGTGGGACCACATGGGCAGAAGTAGGCCAGGCTTAGAGAACTGCAGTCACTAGTGTAGTGGGAAGAGCTTACACCCACACACACAGAATCACAGATACAGTGCAAGAATTGTAGGTCACAGGCACTGTGCTTTCCAATCACAAGTTAGGATCCATGGCCTAAGAATTACAGGTGTGATTACATTTGAACTCAGAATTATTTCTCCAGAGTTCAAGATGGCCCCTCCTAGTGATCACTGTGGCAATGGCCTTGACACTGGCCAGAGAGAGGAGAGGAGCTTCCCTGGGGACAGAGGAGAATGAAGGAGGGGGACAGAAGGGGAAGGAGTAGGGGCAGAGGGGACAAGAATTCAGTCATCCCTGTGAAGGGCAGCACCAACCTCGGTGGGGTGTGGCTCAGCACCATCAACCAGAATAAGGACCTGCAGGGCTCACGGGCACTCAGAGGCTCTGGGGTAGGAGTGCTGGCCCCTCTGCCCTGCCAGGAAGCCACCAACAAGGCACAGCAAACAGCTGAAGAAGAAGCCCCGCTGTGGGATGTTCCCAGGGAACAAATACAAAGGCTTTGGGGGCTCGGATGCCTCCAGAGTAGAGGGGCTAAGCAGAAACCAGATCTGGGTGGGGCCAGTTCCTTCTGGACCTGAGCAACAGGAACCCTGCTAGACTGTGAGCTCCAGGAGGATCCAGATGTTTATCTGTTTTTTATTTCACTACTTTGTCCCCTGGAAAACTAGAACGGTTCTATGCACATAGTAAGAAATCAATAAGCAATGGCTGAATGAATAAATGAATCGTTGAACAAATGAACAGGTGGATGGATGAATCCGTGGATGAACAGGTGGATGCATGGATGGATGCATGGTTGGATACATGGATGCATGGATGAACAAATGTGGAGGAATGAAGAACCTAGGATCCCAGAGACAGAGCAGAAACTAACCAGGTGGGCAGGCTGTACCCCTACCCCAGGGGGATCACTGCAGGCTGCTGCACAGATGCTCCAACCCATGCCCCTTCAATGCCAAGGGGAAGTAGGCCCAGCTGCTCACATCCTGCTGGCCTGGGCTCCCATGCCTCAGTCACGAGGCAGCTGGGACACCAGGATGGGGGCAGGACTGATAGCAGGCACGCTGCCTTCATGCTCACTCTGTGTGTCCTTGGCTTTCAGCCCGCTCCAAAAGCCTAGTGATGGGGGAGCAGAGCCGGAGCCCTGGGCGGATGCCGTGCCCTCACAGGCTGGGCCCCGTGCTGAAGGCGGGCTGGCTGAAGAAGCAGAGGAGCATCATGAAGAACTGGCAGCAGCGCTGGTTTGTGCTGCGTGGGGATCAGCTTTTCTACTACAAGGACAAAGATGAGATCAAGCCCCAGGTGAGAAGTGCATGTCCGGTGTGCCGTGGGCATCGTGGCAGGGCTCCACAAGAGGGAAGACCATGCCCAGGAGAAGGGAGGAAGGCACAGAGCCACTGACTCCATCACAGTGATGTTTTGCCAGGATTTCCAAAGTAATTTTCATTCTTATCCCCCATGTTCCTGGTATCACAGCCTGTTTTACTGGAACATGTCCACAACTTCTGCAATGAAAATGTTTCCTTAAAATGTTGATAGAGAATGTCCTTGTCCAACTTAAGAAAACAACGTCTTCCATGTTCTTTTTGGCCCCTTCATGCTTCCAAGAAGGACATACATGCACACATTTCATTACTTGTATCTTGCAGGAAAATGGGTCACCAGACACATCTAGCCTCAAACTGAAACCTGGCTCACTCTGAAGCCCTTGCACCCATCCTGCATAGGGTTTCTGTGTCCAGCACTGTGTGACCCACATTTTAAGAAGGTGCTTTAAATATCTGCCTTTCATCCAAATTGCACTAAGTTTACTCCCTCAGAGCAGCTAGTAGCCTCGCCCATCACAGTATAGCCTCGTCACAGCGGCCCATGCAAACGTCATAATGAGGTACTCTGTGTGCTGCCATCCAAGACACCTGGGCCAGAAGCACTTGGGCAATCCAGTCCCTGTGATGGGTTTCAGAGAGAGAAAGGGTATCTCTTGGGGATAAAACAGGAAGGGACCTTAAAGGACTTGTCCGAAAAGCTGCTTCTAGTCATGGGTCCAAGTCAGAGAGGGCAGATCCCCTGTTCGGTGTCACAGGTCACGGAATCTTGCTGGGAAGGGACCTGGTTCACATCCCAGCCATCCCCACAGCTTGGGGGCAGAGAGGGGACTCTGGGATGGGCAAGGGGTGAAGGGGGAGCTGGGCATGAGAAAATGTCCCTTTCCTCTTTCAGTTCTTCTAAGCATGTCAAGGATGAAGTGTCAACCCTGTGAGCCTACCTTTGACACTTCTCAAACACTTGGATCCTCCTTTTAAACAAAATATGGGGGCACAGGGGTGAAAAGGGAACAGGCCTCATCTTACTTAGAGCTTTCAGTGCAACAGGAACTGGCTGCTCATGAATAACTTTCTGTCTTCGTTCTGTCCATTCCAATAGCTACCTCTATGGAAAGTTCCCGCTTGTGATAGAGATACCAAGTTTTCCTTTCTAAAATACCGTATATTGACGTTAAAACCAAAAGTGTTTCACAGCAACGTGAATGCACTTAATGGCACTTACCTATATATTTAAAAGTGGTTCAAATAGTAGACTTTGTGTTACACATACATTACCACAATAAAAATAAATTAATTAGAAGTAAGACTGCTTCAGGAAAACTTTTACACAAATAATAGCACAGATGAAATGTGAGTATGACAAAAATCATGAAGGTGGATTCAGAAAACCCTGATGTTGTCCAGCCTCCTTGATTGTATGAGAAAGGAGAACTCTAAGTAGTTAAGTGAGCCAGATAGGAACTCTGGAGTCAGCTAGATCTGAATGAGACCTAGCATGCTAGCTGTGCAGTGTGAACAAAAGTTTTCTGAAACGGAATATGGAGGAAAGAGACTTTATTCCAGTGAACAGTTTGCAAACTGGGGAGACACAGCTTCCATGCAAAAGGTGAAGGTGTGTTCCAGAGAACATAAAGGAGGGTTTTATAGCAAACGTGCCAGCCCAGGTTCCCAGTCAGGTCTGTTTATGCAAATGAAGGATTTGGACTTATTTAGTTCTGAGGGATGATACAGCTGAGCTCTGGAAAGTGAGTTCTGATGGGTTGGTTCAGGAGAACTCTGATTGGTTGGTTCAGGTGAGATCTGAAAGTTCCAGAATTAAACAGGAGTCTGGTCTTTGGGGGAAGGCAGAGTACATGTGTGATCCCTACTCAGCCAATGTCCACTTGGCCCGATTTTAAATTTAGGTCCAGTTAGCCCCTGGGGACTCATCTTGAAGGACTGGCTGTTTCAGGTTCACATTTGTTTACAATGGGGAGTCCATTTTTTTTTTTTTTTTACTTTAGATTGTATCATTTGTAAAATGGAGACAATATTACCTCCATCACAGGGATGAGCTAGGGGTTAAATTGTATAACATACACATAACTGGATACAAATCCTAGCACACTGGATACTCAAATCTGAGCCAACAAGCCCACCCAGCCCTGCCCTCACCTGGCCACCAACTGCCCCTCAGGCTCACTCCTAGGCTAGGCACCACACCTCTGGTTCCCCACAGTCATTTCCTTCTGGCCTCCCAGTTTTGTAGACCAGCCTTGGCCCTTCAACAGTGTCTTGGCTTTCCTGGCTGACCTGTTGGTGATCTGTCACTCTGATTACTGTGAACGGAGTTGCCAGAGTTGCTCCCAGCCTTTCAGAGCCCTGCCTGGACCCTTACTGTCACCCTCCTCCTGTACCAGCCCACAGCACTGCCTCCTCGGAACAGGACTTTGTGATGCTGGGAGAGCCCGGGTGCTCATGACCCTGAGGCCACCCAGGCCACACATGGACAGAGCCTCCTCTGCCACAGGCTTCCCCACGTATTCCTTATAGTGAACCTTGAAGTGGCCCTGGGAGCCCTCACCCATCAGCTAGCTCCATAAGGAACCTCTATCTCCTGAAATTTCTGAGCCAGACACTCCTCTCCCTCCCCTGCCACGTTTTCCAGACCTCCACATCCTCTGGTGGAAGCAACTAATAAAATGGAGGCATGGACATCCACAGTCACAAGCCTGGACACAAGAGCAGCCCTCAAGCCCAATCTAAACTGAACCAGGGCATTTATTGCCAGGGAGCACGTTGAATCATGAGAGGGGCCAGTATCTCCCAGCAGATGCCAGCATCTGCCCAGAGCTCTTGTGGCCTTTCTGGGTCTGGCTGGCACTCACTCCCAATTCCTCTTGGGACAATAAAACTTCTTCCCATTTCCCCCAACAAAGCCTGGCTTCTATGGCACCCCACTGCCCAGGTTCCCAATCTCAAGGCAACTGTCGGTCAATTTTGATTCATTCAGCTTATACAGTATGATCTCAAACTTGCACAGCTGCTGGCAACATAGCCTCACAAATTTCTATTTAATTGCATGAACGGCATGTAATAGACTAATTCTCAATATCTGGTTCCTGGAAAAATATGCCCTGCTCACTGTTCTCAGTGACAGGGGGCCCAGGCGGTCAGCACTCTCCTGTAGGACGGGCTGCACCAGCAGATGTAACTGTCCGGAAGAAGGATATCCAGCCATGTTTGATGCTTCGCAGAGCTCACAACACAGGAGGAGAATCACTCCCAGCCCACATTCCTTGTTCTCTCTCCAAAGCCCTATCTCTTCCCCTCTCCCCATCTTGCTGGCAGGAGGGTCAGCAGAGGACAGAAAGCATAGATACAAGACAGTTCAAGACGGAGAAAAAGGAAGCAGCTTGCACAAGCTCAAATGGAAAGACCAGGCAAAGGCATGTCACAGCAGAGCCTGGAAGTGCACCCTTGATCCTCCAGCTTTTCCCAGCACCTGTCCCTGAGGGTTTCCAGCAGACAGATCCCACAGTTTCACAAGTAGAGGCTTCCAGGTTTTTTAAACCTTAGTGATTTTAGCTTGTGTTTGGAATGTTGAGTCATGAAAACTCCTGCCACATTCTTTGTTGATCAGCCTGGTCTATTTCCACTGTTGGGAACTCACTTTAAGTCTAGTTATCTCGGTCCTTTATTTGTTGTGGGTTTCTTGGCTTTGAATTGAAATGGAACAAAATAGACATGGAAAGTATAACTTCCGAAACCTAAGACCAAAGGAAAAGTAAAAAATTAAATGTGATCAGTTGAGCAAATGGGACAAAATGGGGGAAAGGAAAAAAAAATAAAAAACAAGAAAGAAAGACAAGTAAAAAACTAATAAATAAGATGGCAAAAGAAGGTACAAACATTTTGTTTCTCATAATAAACATGAATAGGTTAGATTCATCTATCCCTTAAAATAGAAAGTGTGAGATTGGGTCTAAAAAAGAGAGAGGAATAAACAAAAAGATTAAAAAGCAAAAGAACGGAAAAAAAAAGGTAAGCAAGTAAATGTGAGCAAAAAGAAAGCAAATTTAGTAACATCAAATAAAGTAGGATTCAAGATGCTAAGAAAAAAGGGGAACAGAGAGATATAATTCCTAATATAGATAACCTACTGAGAAAAGACAGCAGCTGTGAACTTTTATGCTCCTAATGCCATAGCTTTGAGGAAGACATAAACAAAGAACACTCATTGTTTCTCTTTAAAAAAAAAAACTTTTTCAAAAAAATGAAATCAGAGACCCAATCACTGTCAATAATGCTAAAGCAAAAAAGACAAGTTAATAACAAAATGACATTGAGGAGAGTGTGCAGGCATGAGAGAGCGAAGATCAAACACACACACACAGACACACACACACACACACACACACACACATACACTGCATAATACTTCTGTAGTTAATGAGAAAACCAAAACTCAAATTCAAACTTCCAGTTAAGGGTGACATTTAAAAGTCACATTTGGCTCCTCCACATCACAAAACTTCATGATACAGCACTAGAGGATGTTTTTAAAGGCACAAGCACAACTAGATGGAAAGAACATGAGGGGAGAAAGCATTCTGGATGCAGGAAAACAGATGAGGGAGAGGCTGCTGATTTATTTAGCTGATCCAAGACAGCTAAATCCCAAACCAGCACAAAGGAGAGCATGGAAGCTGTCTGGTTTGCAAAACAAAACCCCTCAAAGACTTGGGGCTTGGCAGGACTAGATATCTCTGGAAATGAGGGCAAAAAAGGAGCTCAGGACAGGAGCACTGGGTGAAGGTTAACTTAAAAAAAAGCAGTTAGGGCCAGGCGCAGTGGCTCACGCCTCTAGTCCCAGCACTTTGGGAGGCCAAGGCAGGCAGATCATTTGAGGTCAGGAGTTCGAGACCAGCCTAGCCAACATGGTGAAACCCCGTTTCTACTAAAAATACAAAAATTAGCCGGGTGTGCTGGCACATGCCTGTAATCCCAGCTACTCGGGAGGCTGAGACAGGAGACTTGCTTGAACCTGGGAGGTAGAGGTTGAGACAAGATAAGCGCTACTGCACTTCAGCCTGGGCAGCAGAGCGAGACTCTGTCTCCAAAAAAAAAAAAAAAAAAAAAAAAAAAACCAAAAAAGAGCAGTTAGATCTCAGATTTTCTGAGCAATCCAGTGCCAAGAGGTGACTGCCCGCCCCGACTCAGCTGTAAGACTGGAGTTGTATGTATTCTCTGAGAATAAAAGGGAGCCCTTTATAATGGGGACTCTGGCCCTTTCTTGGTGGAATATCTTAGAGAACAGGAAGGTTGGGTGAACATCAGTGTGCAGACCAGTTCCTTAGGCCCCAGTCTCTATCCACATTTGGTTTCCAAGCCCCAGCAGTCAGGAGTAGCCCCCAGGAAGGAAACTGATGAATTTTCTCCAGTAAATTTCTCCAGAGGTTCTCCAGTAAAATGGCGGAGGTGGACCCTCCTGTGTATGCCCTCCCCATCCTCCGACGCCACCCAGTCAGCTCCATAGAGAACCATTCTCAAGTGGGAGTGATAGGCCTGGTTCAGCAGACATTTGAGGAAACACTCTCATTTGAGGAACCAAGACAAAAAGAGGAAGAAAACAAAAAGCAAGTTGCAGGCAGCAGATACTGTGCAGGGGGAAGAAAACTGTTATACAAAACTACTGTAATATCCTCAGAGAGAATCTCTAAATACGGAAGAGTCAGAGGAGGAACCGATCCCCAGAAGTCAGAAATAAGATATCATGAATAAAAAACTCCAAAGAAGGGTTGGATGAAAACTTGACACTTCTAGGAAGAAGAGGACAATAAGAGAGACAACCCAATGTCCGAATAGAAGGAGTTTTAGAAAAAGAGAAGAGAGAAATGAAGGAAAAAGAGTCTTTAGAGAAATGCTTGAAATAAACTCCCCAGGATGGGAGTATAAACACTAAATACTAACTGAGATAACCAAAATTACCATGGAGATTTGGGAAGGTGTGTGGTTGGGTGGCGGTGGGTGGCGGTGTGGGGAGGGATGGGTGAGTGGAGAAGGGGCAGAAAGCAAAATCTCACTGCCCATGCTAGGAATTCCACAGACAATGACTAAAATGTAAAATCAAAAAGGAGTAACATAAGCATACTAATTAGAAATAAATATCTTAAAAAAAGGAGAAAGATAGAAAAGAAACCTCATCTGAGACCATAGAACGTGGTGACAGATTCAGGCAATGGCAGGGGAAGAATTTGCTGCCTCATGATAAGCCGTGTAGAACTCTTGATTCTTCAAACTATGTGCAAGTGTAAACTTTCATTGTAAAAAAAAAGTGAAATAAGATGGAAATAATTTATTTTTGAGATTTTGAGCATACAAATAAGACAAGTCAGAGCCATGGGGCAGGGATGTGAGGCAGGGGAGTGAGTTGGTAACAGGGTCAGCTTGCATTTTTTCTGTGTTATTGTAATTTCTCACGTTGAGACTATCTTCATGTAAGTCCATATTTTAAAGTATTTTAAAAATTTAAACAAGAAAAGAAAAACTATAACCAAAAAACGGAATGCAGCAGGGCCACAGTGCTAGAGGTTCTTTGGATGACCAGGAGGAGAATGGGGAGGCCAGGCCAGGGGCTCCCTCTTCTAGAAAGGGCCACTGAGCCCCACGCTGGCCTCTGAAGAGGCCCTGGCATATTGGAGGTTCTTGGAAGATGTGTTTAGAATGAACCTAGGAATGTGTGGGAGGTCCATGGATGCTATGTGTCTGGCAGTCCACACCCAGTGGGGAGCCCATAGTCTCTGACGTAGGGCATAGGATGCTCATCCTACAGGCAGGAACACAAAATGCAGATGTGGGACTAGAGGACTCCTGTAAAGGGGCTTCACTGCCACACCCAGGATCTAGGTCCTCACTTCGTGGGCTGCGATAGGGGTCAGTGAAGGTTGTGGGTTGCTTATACTTGGCCATCAGAGCCCCAAGAGGAGAGTCATCCTGCAGCAGCACAGATAGGGGCTGACCAGGACCAGGCTGGAAGCAGAAAGGCCACTTAGATGGGGCTGGTGTTCTAATATCAGCTGAGGCCAAGAAAATCCTCACCATGCTGGAACAAGGGCTGGGGGCCTTGGAAGAAGCAGGGGAGGGAACATGGCAGGTGGAGTTTGGAATCCACACTTCCCCCTCCCACCTACCTGCCATGGCTGATGCAACATTATGTTCTAGAAGAGGCAATTTAAAAATCACTTTGAGAGCAGGCTAGGTTTCTGTTGTATGTTTTATTTTTTTTCCAGGAGAATAAGTGAGGGAAGCTCAGCAATAAGGAGCCATAGAAGATTGATTTAAAGTTTGATGTGATTGAGTAAAAGCTTGAGACTGGTGGGGAGAAAGTCAAGATGGATGGGAAAGCACATGCACTTCTAGGAGTGGAACATTAATATTGGACAGTCGGAAACCAGAAATCTTTAAGAAAGAGGAAACCTCAGGGGAAGAAAGAGAGGCCATCCTATCCCATAACTTGAAAGTCACAGGAATATTTCAGCCTGCAGGGAATCTTCATTTCCCACCCCATTGTTTACCAAACTTGCACGTCAAAAACAAAAACAAAAAATAAAATGTTGCTTTCATGAACTCTGTTACTCCATTCTCCCATTGCTATAAAGAAATACCTGAGACTGGATAATTTTTTTTTAAAGAGGTTTAATTGGCTCATTGTTCTGCATGCTGTACAGGAAGCATGATGCTGACCTCTGCTCAGCTTCTGGAGATGCCTCAGGAAACTTAGAATCATGGCGGAAGGCAAAGAGGGAGCAGTCATGTCACATGGCCAGAGCAGGAGCAAAAGAGAGAGCAGGGAGGTGCCACACACACTTTTAAACCACCAGATTTCGTGAGAATTCACTCTATTTTGAGGACAGCACCAAGAAGATGGTGCTAACCACTCAAGAGAAACCGCCCCCATGATCCAAATACCTTCCGCCAGGCCCCACCTCCAACACTGGGGATTACAATTAAACATGAGATTTGGATGGAGACACAGAGCCAAACCATATCACGCTCCTTCCCTGAGTCCTTGACCTGGAGTAGATGCCTGGGTTGTCTCCATTTCTCAAATGAGGAAACTGAAGGACTGACATCAGGCCAAGACTAACAGGTACTCACTCTCAGATAGCGCCTGAAAGCTGACACAAGTTCAGTGAGACTGCTAGGACAACCCCCTGCCGTGCCATTAATGTCTGCCCACAAAAACCTCACACCTTTGGCTGGCTCTATCTTCCATGGCCCTCATCTCAGCACCACCTGGGGGTACGATGAAGATGCCATCAGGTGTCGGAGCTCATCTTGTGCTCACAGCTCACAGGACCGCCCCTGTGTCAGATGCCCTTCACTTCTGGACCTCATAACCTCCACCCAGCTCAAGTTGACTTAGCAAGCCCTAACTGTGCATCCTTCATAAGCTGTAAATTGTTACTCAAACCAGCCAAGAGGATGTCACTGCTATTATTATTGCATTACTGTTTTGATATTGCTGTTGTTATTTATAACACTTCCTCAATTTAATTTCTGTTCTCCATTCTATATCATAAACCTCATTCAGGTGGGGCTTCAATCTGTCTTATTATTTCTCTTTTCCTATCACCTAGCGGTACTTGACACATAATTGGTATCCAGTAATATTGGGTGCTTACTTGAATAATTGAATGAATGAATGAATAAATGAGAAAAATAAATGGAATGAATGAGTGCATAGTGTGACCCATATTTGTATTAGATCCTCAATGGAAAAATAATTTATTGCTTTTGTAAAGTGCCTGAGAATTGGCAAAGAGCTTATTGACTGCCTTCCCTATCAGACTGTAAGCCCAACAAGGTGAGGTTTTTGTCTATCTTGTTTATCTCTGTGTCTCAGTATCCAGAACAATGTCTGACACATAGTAGAAGCTCAATAAACACTTGTTCAATAAACATTCACACAGCATCTCCACAAGGCCAGGCACAATCAATTTCCACTGTACTGGTAGAGAATGTGGGGCTCAAAAAGGTAGAATGAAAGCTTGCATACTATAATGGAAAAAACCATAATATTTGGAACCAGAATACCTGGCTTCAAGTCCCATTTATACCACCTACTAGCTATAGATTTGGGAAGATCATTGAAGCCCTCTTGTTCCTACTTTTGGTGTGGTCCTTTGAGGCTGTGGCTTCACTAAGCATTGGACAAATGGAAGTTGCTGTGGTTGATAGTGTTGTCAATGCTGCCTAAACACTCAGAGATAAGACTATTACAATTCTTAGAATGGGTTCTGAAATGAAAGACCTTCAAGAAGCATGCGAAGGCATCTAATATGAATTATAAAAAGGAAGTTGCAGATCTAGAAAACAATGATTGCCTGAACATGCAGAGCTCCCTGAGACCAGCCCTTCAGATGGTCTTCACTCCCTTTCTTGATTAGGAGTCCAGACTCGTGGGTGGTAAGTCTGCCACGAATACCTGGTGTCTAAATTTTAGCATGTCATATTACAGGATCTTGCGTGATAGAGAAAAATGGCAGATTTCTCTTGAGTAACCAGGATGGTTCTAGCTGGTAACTAGAGAAGATATTTCACTCTCTGAGCCTCAGTTTCCTCCTTGTAAGTTGAGAATAACCACACCTATCTTATAGGACTATGGTGAGAGTAAACTCATGCGGTAAACCATGTAGGAAATACCCTAGTTGTGGCCTTCTCCCCTGGGTGGAACTTTACCCTATGAAGGTTTAGCAAATCATTCAACACAATCAAACAGTGGAGTCTAGGGGCAGGCGACATGGCTCCAACCTCGCCTCTGCCTTACTTCGTGAGTTTGATCAACAGTTTGAATCTAAATAAAAGCTAACTTTTATATATCTGATGAACCAGGCTCTGTTCTAAGTGTTTTGCATGTATTAACTTGCTTTAATTCCCACAGCAACTCTGCAAGATACATGGTAGATAATCCCAAAGATGGCTGCCACTTATTCCTGCCCCTTCTCCCAACAAGCAGAGCCTATTTCCCTTCCCCTTGAATCTGAGCTGTCTTTGTGACTATTTGACAAACAGAATAAGACAGAAGTGATGCCATGCCATTTCCAGGTTTGGTCTCTGTTAACTTAAAAATCACACAATTTATAAATTTAGAAAGGAGATCTTATTTTTCGTAAAGCATTGCAACCTGCAGGCTGGCCATCTGCAGGTTGGGAAGCATAGCCTCTGGTAGACCCGGAAAGGCAGGCACTTTGAGGGAATGGATGGTAAGGCAGGAATTTGTCCTGAACAGATTAGCTAAGTAGGGTTACAGGAGGAGCTATGAATATTCACAAAGAGGGTCCTGACTCATGCCTACTGAACATCCATATTAAATGTGACTCATATTCACTCTGGAGCAGAGGCTTAACATTTAAATGCATTGCAGGCAGGCCCTATACAGCAATAGGTGAAGCAGGGACATGAAGGCCCTCTGTGTGCAGCCTCTTGTTAACTGGTCAGAGCCAGCCTATTGTTGGTGGTCTTTTATCAGGAGAAAGTTACTGACATCCATCTCTTGTCCAATCAAAGCTGTAGTTGTGACTTGTGGACCAGGGGTTGGGGGTCAGTTAGTCAAGGTCTAACGGTGAACTACAATTGTTTTAGCACTTGTTTCTTAGGGCTAGTGCCTGTTTAACTGCTAGAGAAAAAGAAAAACCTGTGGCAGTTAGAACATTGTTTATTCTTTAAGTGTACAGGTGTATGACTTAAGTGTTGGTTGGTTGGAATGGCCTTGGGTCTTATTTATAATTTGGTATCTTATTGCCATAAAGTCAGTTGTGTGATCACTACTGTAACATTATTGCTGGTCGGATGTGGTGTCTAAACTGAAGAAGGATGTAGCAAGGCATGTTTGACCTCCTATCACAGCCAGGAACTCAGTTTTTAAGGTTTCCCTAGGTTCCCCTTGGCCAAGAGTGTATTTATTTGGTCAGGTGGGGGCCTTAGAGTTTAATTTTAGATCTCATCCCTAAGAAACCAAGCATGTTTCTGCTTTGCTCTGAAAAGCCGCCACCATTCTGTAAGAATGTCTGAATGGACCACAGAATGATGAGGAAGCGTGAATGAGAGAAAAACCACACAGCCTAGATGAATGAGTGAGGCCTTCCTTCCTGGACCTTATAGCCCAGCTCAGCTGCCAAATGCAACTGTGTCAGTGACTCTGGACCAAGCTATATAGAGCAGAAGAAACATCCACTGATCCCTGCCACGGTATCATGGCAAATAACAGATCACTATTTTGTAGGCAATAAGTTTTGGAGTTTTCTTACACAGCAGTAGATGATTGAAACAATTTAGGAATGAGTACTATCACCACTGTCCCAATAAGGAAACTGAGGCACAAAGAGATTAGGTGACTTTCTTAAGATGCATAGAAATTAGAACAAGGGAGGGGAAGCCCCACCAAGCTTTTCCATGGTCAGACCAGGTCACTTCTGGAGAGTGACGGTCCCCTCAAGGCACTATATTTTCAAGAACAGGGCAGCAAGGATGGAGAGGAGTCCAAACTCATGTCCATAGGAGGAATAACTGAATAAGTCATCTGGAGAAAAGAAATCTTGCTAAGGGGCAGTATATGAAGCTCTGAATCCTTATATGAACAAGACCAGAAGACAAATGGACAGACTCCCCGATTTGTCTTCTACACTCCATTCCACACTTCATTCTGATGGAGTGGTCTACTGGGTGGTAGCGGGCTCCAGTCCCTGGTGCTGGACAAGTAGAGGCCAGACTATTAGTAGATTAAGTGGCTTGGAGAAGAGCTGACCACTGGGTAGCAAGTTGGCCAGAAATGATCTCCAAGAGCCCTCTCAACTCCAAAAGTCAAAAGTTCATCCGAGACCTTATAAGGCAAAGAGGAATGGAAGAAAAAGAACTACATTCAGCCAAATCCTAGCAGTTTTCAGAAGTTCCACCCTAGATGAGTCAAAAACGAGGCCAAAGAAGCAGGCATGCTCTGGAGGTCTGGCCAGAGCAGGGCAGTTTCCCAGAAGTCCCACTGTGGGCACCCCTGGCAGTCCTCAATGGCCGTTTCGTGCAGAGCGTTTGGAACCCTGGCTCCACTATTGGGCCAGGTGAAGGTCTCTGGGGAGACACAGTTGGTGGCAAGAGAGCTGATGGATACAGACCTTGATGCCATGGGGCCCTTGAAGATAGGGTCACTCATGGATCTCATTGCTCTTGGTGAATTTGCCCCTGACCTCCTGAGAAGCCCTGAAGAGTCTGACTTCAATCCCTCCTTCCTACTTCCCACCTGCAAGTCTCTGTCCACAAAAGAACAAGCAACTGATTACCTCCCAAGCTGCTCCCATAGATCTTGCCACAGCAAATTTCAGTCAGTCTGTCTACACTCAGAAAAAAACAAACCTGAGCATAAAAGACAGGCTCTGATGCATCCCTCAGACCCTCTCTGCCCCAGGATAAGCCAGCGATGATTGAAAAGTGTCTTCTGCAGCACGTTAGAGAGCACCTTGAGTTAATTAGGAACTGAGCTTCACACTCCCATTAGTGCTGCAGAAGAAAAATTCAACAACAGATATTTCCTTTTTTAAAATGTCCTGGGGGACAACTTGAAATGCTTCTTCTGTGAAGAATTACTCATTGGAGTCATAAAAAGAGAGAGGGGTATCATTTATTTAGATTCAACTGTGAGACTTTGTGGCTTTTTTAAAGGGATGCTGTATTTTTGCAGCTATTTTAGAACCATAATTCCCCACATTAAACATATCAAAATGAAAACTCTATTCAAGCAAGTTATTTTAAGTCAAATATAAATTTATTTACTAACTTGAAATTGGCAGTAGCAGCTGTGTTTTTAAACAAATTTCAAACAATATTTAGTTAAAACCATTTTTTCTGCATGTCAAAGAAAAACACAAGATTTAAGTAATCATACAAAATACATTTTAAGGTTTGTTTTATACCATCCTGCAGGGTTCTGAGAGCAGGCCCCTGAAATGACAGCATCAGCAATGTCTGGGGACTAATGTATGGACAGCAAAATTCTGCTACTGTCCTAGGAAAAGGAAATCAAGTTAGAAGAGGCCTGATGACACCTCAAGACCAAATAAATCACAAGTGACAATGTCTTGGTTGCCCCCGAATTGTTTTGCACCCAGAGCTATACTGCCTACAAGACGGATCTCCACCTTCTAAAAATGACTTTTGTGTTTCTTCCAGTGTTACCGGTAGTAATGAGCTTCTCTCAGGATCTGCTAATTTAAGTCAGCATGGATATTAGTTTACAGCACTTAAAGGTCTCACACTTATAATAGAGCAATCCTTTGGCTTTCATTGCAACCCAGTTAATTTACAGTAATACGTAGAAAACTGATAGTTAAATTATGAGTTTTATCAATCACAAGGCAGAAAAATGAATCAAGTAACATTGAAGCAGCATGGGAAACATATTTTATTCATTGTTCAGAAGAGCATAACTTATGTTTCATTGTGTTTGGAGCATTCTAGCTCCTTAATGCATTGGTGGAATACTGAGTTACAGTTGATCAGCATAATGGAGGTGGTTTGGAAGGGCTGCCGAGGACGATGGGTACATTTCCCAAATGGACTGTGGCCTTTGCTAAAGACAGGGATGAGGTGTGCCTTCCTCAGCAAAATGCAGCCAGTGCCCCTTGGCAGCAGTTGGCTCAGCAGATCAGCCTGGCACAGCCAGGGCAGGTCAATGCAAAAGTGTCTATACCATGTTACTCAGGCTAACCTGTGCTCAACTAAGCAGCATGGCAGCCTCTCTCACAGAGACACCATATACCCCAGAGCATAGCACTAGTTTCAGGGCCTCCCAGAAATAAGACAGAATCAAACCATTTTCAGCCAAAGGAGGGCCCCACCCACTCCAAGGAGGGGCCCTGGACCCAGCATCAACATGTCCCAAAGGTGTATTTTGAGCAGAAAAAAATCTTCCAAGAGTGTGCTCTTAGGCTCAGGACAAGACAGGACAGCACCAGCGCTCCCAGTCTGAGTAGCTGGGTCTGTTCTTCGTGGGCAGAGAAGACTGGAAACACTGTGCAACCCTGGAAAACATGGCAGGGACCATGGCATGGAAGAGCAGGCCGGTGGTTCAGTGCTGCCAACCCAGGCAGTGGAGAGGCCCTGTGTCCCCAAGGGCTCTTCCTGGTGGGGGTGGGGGCCAGGCAGCACCTACCAAGAGCTCCCAGTTCTGGAGGAACAGGAGAGGCTGTTTCACACCCAGCCGGCAGGCTCTGAAGAGCAGCGGAGACGGTGAGCATCACAATGGTGCAGCAGTCAATGCCCATATCCACCTGAGTCCCAGATCAGAGAAAATACTAAAAAGTGGGCGGTCACTCCCTCTGGAGAGGCTCAGCGCATGTGCCCTCTGAGGGCTGGTTCCCTGTGAACATACCTGTCTCAACTGCAGTGTCTTATGCAGCCACCAAATGCCGTGGGCAGCCAGAGGGATTCAGCTCATCTGAGTTTCCCCCTTAGCCCCTCTACATGGAACACCAGGTACTTCAGGGGGCAAAGAGGCCTACCATATGGTCCAGTAAGCCAAGGAGGAAGCAGGGTCGTTTGCAAACTCCCAGGATCTCATGCTGCCCAGGACATGTCATTCAGCCAGGAATGGGCATGGGGTCCACAACCCCTCTTGGACAGTGATCTAGATCAGTCTTTTCTGGGCTCCCTCCAATGCTCCAGTCCAAAAAGTGAGGCAGGAAGTGCGTACTACACGGCCATCACAGCTTGAGCCAGAACCTAGACATGCCATGCTCAGTGCTTCTAACCATCAGAGTAAGACAGCTCCCAGCAGCCCAAGGTCCCCAGAGTCAAAGTAGATGAGACTGACCTCTCCTTTCTTTTTCCTTCCCAACATCCAATCCATGGAGCAAGGAAATCATCATTATTAGTTAAATGGATTTACCAGCATGGAAATACGATGTTTAATTAGTGCTATGATTTTATAACTTCTTTGTTCATGTGGCCAGGTGATCAGCTAAGGACAAAATTCTCTAACACTTATTTTCTCAAAATAACATCTAATTAGTAAAATGAACAATGTTAAATGTCCTTGAGATCCCAGCAGCTAAACATAATAGAAGTTTACCTCTCACTGTAGTAATGTCTGTGGTGGGCCAGATGTTGGCCTCATCTGTCTCTGTGGTCACCAAGGTTGACTCAGGGGGAGAGATAGGAGAGAAGACTGGAGGTCACTGGCAGTTTTTAAAGGACCAGGCCTGGAAGTGGATGCTGTCACTCCTGCCCAATCCCACTGGCCAGAACCCCATACCATGGCCCCAACCTAAGCACAAAGGACACTCAGAGAGCAGCCCATGGAGATTTGATGACACTAATGGTCTGCCCCAAATGTGTTGTAAAATCACGTGCACCTTGGCCTCTCCTCCCTTCTCCCAGGGCAAGCTAAACACTAGGGGATTCAAGAGCTCCCCTGGGTAAGCATTCTGTTCACTAGTCACTTCCACATTAATCCTGCTGCTTCCCTGTGGCACTGCTCAGCACCCAGCCCTGGGCTGCCACCAAGGCCGGGGCACTAGTACTAGTGACTCTTCCCAACGTGGCATGGCATCTCATTCCCATGAGCATGGTCGCAGGCATTAGAATGTTCACATGAATGACAAGACTGAGAGGAAGAGAGGCTGAGCCTAAGGCCACTGGGTGAGGACCAGTAGTGCAGCCTCAACCACAGGGTCTTCTGCAGGGCTCAGGAATACAGTGAGATGAGGCTGCCTGAAGGGGTAGACCCCAGGAGTGACTCAGGGCAAGTCACAGGCACCCTGTTTGGCACGGAGTCTAGTGCAAGGTCCTGGCTTACCACAGAGCAACCAGAACTTTGCAAAGAGGACCCACTCACCCTGAAAAGGGCACTCCCTGGGGTTTGGAAGAGGCCATGAGCTCTGAGACCTGAAGATCCTTGAGGGCTCCACCAGGGTTTCCAGCTTAGGCTGCAAGTCTACCCCAGGTCTCAGGCCCCAGGCCCTGGGCTCATTCATGACTCCCAGCTGGACTTCCACAGGCTCAGGGCCTGAGCTGTGCAACACTGAAAGTAAGAGCTTTAGGGGCTGTGGCCAGTTGGGAGGGATAGGGAGGGTGCAGGGAGCCGGTGTTCTGAGTTCAAAGCCCCTGCTCTCTGCAGAACATGGTGCTGACCTCAACACACTGTCCCTGTGGCACACCACATGTGCTAAAGATTTTCTAAGAGGACCATGGATAGCCTCATGACACAGTGAAGAAGCAGGGCGTTCCCAGGTCCGATCTGCTGACTGCAGACCTGTGGATCATAACAAGAGCATTTGGAGTTCACAGGTTCACAGGTGGCAGCGTTACTGCGGAATCTGTTGGAAGAAGCTTCAAGAGAAAGTCATCAGCAAGGAAAGAAGCTGGACAAATGATGTATCTCAACTCCTTAGGGAGGGAACGTTCCTTTACCAAGAACTCAATTATCTCCAATTTTCACAATGCCTTTTTAAATCTGTATTCTGGACAGTCATGGGGCATGGTTACAGGCTTGTGTGATAAGGAAGCAAGGAGGATGCTTCCCTCCTTGGCACTGAACTTCATTCTGATCTGTATTATTTATGTACAACTCAGAGACATTCAGTTCCTGGTTGGGTGTCAGGTGGATAACGGTTTTTAAGATTGATCTGAGGCCCCAATCAGAGTTAACAGAGATAGGGAACCCTGAGCGATTGCTTTCTAAAACATGCCTGCCATTTTCCAAGATGCTGCCTGTGGAGGATTTTATCAGGAGACTTGGTAAAAAGAATTGCAGAAGTTGTTTCTTCAGGCAGTCTCCTAGACAAGGTGAAAAATGAAGACTTCCCAGAGAGCCAGTCTTTGATCATGTTGAAAAGAGCTGAATTCAGACTGCAAAGACCTCAAACTGTCACAAACTCCAAAGGCTGGCCAATAGGAGGATTACAGACATCCCGGGCCCTGCAGGAGGTCCCCATGGACTGTCATCACACACTAGGAAGCAGGGCCCTGCCTTCACCATGCTAGGACTACTGAAGTCTGTTTCACACCTCATTTCATGGCACAAGCAATGGTATTATTAGGGGAGGGGAGATTGTTTCTACAAACAGACCAAACAAATGATACAGTGACCAAAATGAGTTTTGAAGTCATAATTATGATAATTCATATTTATATAGGCCCCTAGTGTATATACAGCTCTATCTCAGATGGCCCAGTGACAAATCTGGGACAAATATCTTCATTTTTACACATAAAGAAACCAGGCCTCAGCCTGGTGGAACAGGCTGGAACACACCTGTCTGTGTTCTACCTAAGCGGCAATGTCACAGTAATTACAAACCCTATAATAATTCTAAGTGTTTCTATCTATTCCCACTCCTATAAAATGTTCATGCACAGAGTCTACTCCTTGGCCCTATAATAATGCATGATCACAGCAATAGCACTTACTCTTACTGGGCACTAAACCTGGGGAAATCCTCAAAACACCTCCACATTGCAGAGGAGGAAACGGAGGTTCAGCCGGGTTGGTGGAGGACCTGTCTGACCCTGACCCCCAGTCATGAGCTCACACAAAACTTCTGCAGCACTGCCCTTTCTTAGGATGCTGCCATCCTGGGTACCTGCTACAGCCCAGCTCCATTCCACACCTTCTGCTCACTTGATCCCGTTTAATTCTCAGAGATCTGTGAGGGAGATGCCACTACCCCATTTAACAGAGAGAGAAACTGAGGCTAAACTTGTCCCAAAGTTTACTATCACTAAGCAGTAGTCAGGATTAAAACCAGATCTGTCTGGGGCTAAAACCTGTGAGGTTTCCATGACAGTCTTACAGGATCTCGGATTTATTATGTAATGGGTGCTTATCTTTTTACGATTTGGGTGAGTTCTGGGTGTGAGACATCTGACTAGAGACATGTCAGTAGAAATCATTGTCGCTGTTGCTGTTGTTAATCTCCTTTATTCCCCTGGACTTAGCTGAGGCTTCCAGACCATCCGGTGTTCTGGGAGCTGTTCCCAAGACGGATCATTCTTTGCAAAATGAGCTATGGCAGTCTCCTGATGTGGGCAGGGGCTTCCTGCAGGCAGGGATGTGTGCAGACCCTGATCAGAGGACCTGGAAAGTACTTGCCACTTTATTTCAGTCTGAGGAAGCTTGAGGGGACTGTCACCCTAAATGCTTGCAGAAGAGAGAGGGAAATCACTCTTTGTTTCCTGAAAATGATGGATGGGCATTCTGGGCTGCAGAAACACTGTGCAGGCTGGCCTGGCCCCAGCACATGAGGTCGGAGAGTATGATGGTAGTCAGATGGCAGCAGCCCGTGAGTAGGGCATGGGCAGTGCTGCATGAATTAGCTGACTGCTTTCCATTTCAACTTTAACGTTGTTTAAATTTTACGTTGATGCAAACATTATAGGGCAAAACATGAAAGCTCCTTCACCATTCCCACCACTCCCTCCCAGAGTGTAAGTTTTCTGTGCTATTTCTATACATTAACATGTAACTTGTGGGCTCTGGGGAGAGGACAGTAACAGACACTGGGATGGAATTGTATTAAAATTATTTTTCTGGTGTTCTTATTTCTTAGCAATTCATCTTAGAAACCTTTTGTATGTACCTCATTCTGGTATGGCCTTACCAGAAATGATTTAACCGTTCCTCTGTTGACAGATGAACAAGTCATTTCTCATTTTGTGTAGTAAAAAATGTTACATTGAGGATTGTTATGCATCCATTTTTGTGCATTTGTTTTTCCTTAGAACAAATTCTTAAAATTCAATACAAGGTTACAGGACATTTTATTTTAAAGTTGTTTTAGACATTGCAAAATTGCTTTCAGAAAGTCTTTATCAAATTATGTATCAAAAGTGTATGAGAATGCCCATTTCTGTATGCTCTTCCTGTTGCATGGTCATTAAGTACTGACCGTCCTTTTAAATTGAGAATCTTATGACAAATTTATTGACCATTTGTATTTCTTCTATTAATTCCTTGTTAACACCCTTTACCCATTTTTCTATTGGGTTGTCTTTTATTTTAACAACATATTTTATTTATTTATATTGGATTACCCAATATGTCCAAAAATCAGCCTTTCAACAAGTAATCAATATAAAATTATTAATGAAATAGTTTACATCTTTTATAGCAAATCTTTGGAATCCACTTATAGCATATCAGATTTACATTGCAAGTTTTTATCAAATATATGTGATCTGTATTTAGATCTTATCAAATCTACATTTGAAGTAGATTCACATACCCAACTTGTTTCAGATATACTGTAGTCTACTGTAGTATAAGGTAGAATAATGGCTCCCCGAAAGATATGCCTGTCCTAATCCCTGGAACATGTGAATATGTTATGTTACGATGGCAAGCATTTAATTAAGGTGGCAGATAGAATTAAGGTTGCTAACCATCTGACCTTAAAGAAATTATGCTGGATTGGCCAGGTGCGGTGGCTCACGCCTGTAATCCCAGCACTTTGGGAGGCCGAGACGGGCGGATCACGAGGTCAGATCGAGACCATCCTGGCTAACACGGTGAAACCCCATCTCCACTAAAAATACAAAAAATTAGCCAGGCGTGGTGGTGGGCGCCTGTAGTCCCAGCTACTGGGGAGGCTGAGGCAGGCGAATGGCATGAACCCAGGAGGCGGAGCTTGTAGTGAGCCAAGATTGCGCCACTGCACTCCAGCCTGGGGCACAGAGCAAGAATACGTCTCAAAAAAAAAAAAAAAAAAAAAAAATTATCCTGGATTATCCAAGTGGATCTAATATAATCATAAGAGTTCTTTATAGTGGAAAGGGAGGCAGACAAAGAGGTCAGAGTCGGAGTGATTTGAAGATGTGAGGCTGCTGGCTTCGAAGATGGTGGAAGGGTGCAGGAAGACTTTAAAAGCTGGAAAAGTGAGAAACAGATCCTGCCCTAGAGCTCCAGAAGGAACAGTCGTGCCAGCTATTGACTATAGCCCAGTAAGGCCCATTGCAGAATTCTGACCTCCAGAACTGTAAGAAAATAAATTTTTGTTGTTTTGAGCCGCTACATTTTTAGTAATCTGTTAGGAAACAAATACATATTTCTAAAAGTTTTTTGATAACTGAATCAAATTCAGTTTTTCTTAACAGCTTTATTGAGGTATAATTGACATACAATGAACTGCACATATTTCATGGGCACAGTTTGGTAAGTCTTAATATAGATGTGCATCTGTGACACTATCACCACAATCAAGGCAGCAAACATATCCATCACTGCCAAAAGCTTCCTTGTATCCTGTTGTAATCCCTCCTCCCACTCCCTTTGCCCCTCCTGACCCCTGACCCCAGGCTGATCCGCTTAGTTCTCATTTTCTACACTTTTATAGAAATGGAATCACACAGTATGTACTCTGGCTTGTTGTCTGTCTTCTTTCCCATGGCATAATTATTTAGAGAAGCATCCATGTTGCAGCGTGCATTAAGAGTTCATTCATTCATATTGCTGGGTAGTATTGCACTGTATGCAGGTACCTCAATTTGCTTATCCATTTACCTGGTGAAGGCCATTTGCATTATAGCAAATTTTTGGATATTAGAAATAAAACTGCAATGATTTGCATACAAATCTCTGTAGGGAAATATGCTTCCATTTCTCTTGGGTATATGTAGGAGCGGAATGGCTGGGTCGTATCCCAGGTGTGTATTTAACTCTTTTTTCTTTTTTTTTTTTGAGATGGAGTCTTGCTCTGTTGCCCAGGCTGGAGTGCAGTGGCTCGATCTCAGCTCACTGCAACCTCTGCCTCCCGGGTTCCAGAGATTCTTCTGCCTCAGCCTCCTGAGTAGCTGGGACTACAGGCACGTGCCAACACACCCCGCAAATTTTTGTATTTTTTAATAGAGACAGGGTTTCACCATATTGGTCAAGCTGGTCTCGAACTTCTGACCTCGTGATCTGCCCACCTCGGCCCCCCAAAGTGCTGGGATTACAGGCGTGAGCCACTGCTCCGGGCAGTATGTTTAACTCTTTTAAGAGTCTGCTTAACTGTTTTCCAAAGTGATTGTCGTTTAACATTACCACCAACAGTGTATAAGAATTCTCGGTCCTCTGCACCCACACCAACACTTAGTCTGGTCAGTCTTTTTACTTTATCTAATAGATATGTAGTGGTATCCAATTATGGGTTTAATTTGCATTTTCCTAACTACTAATGATGTTGAAGATCATCTCATGAGCTTATCTTCCAATCCTATATCTTCTATAGTAATTATCTGTTTAAATCTTTTGCCTCTTTATTTAAATTGGATTGTTACCTTATTATAGAATTTTGATGGTATTTTATATATTTTGGGTACAAGTCCTTTATCAGATACATGATATTCAAATATTTCTCCTAGTATGTAATTTGTCTTTTCACTCTCTTAATGTGTTTGAAAAGCAGTTTTTTTAATTTAAATGAGTCATATTTATCAATTAGTTCTTTTTTGAGTCAAGCTTCTGATGTTGTATCCAAGAACTCTTTGTCTAATCCAAAGTCATAAAGGTTTTCTACTAGAAGTTTTATAGTCTCAGATTTTGTGTTTAGGTATATCATTCATTTTGAGTATATTTTTATATATGGTGTGAGGTATGAATTGAGATTCATTTTTTTGCACACAAATATGCAGTTGCTCAACCATCATTTGTTGAAACAATATCTTCTCCAATGAATTGCCTTTACACCTTTGTCAAAATCAATTATCCATATATGGAGACAGATAGATAGATATGGAGGTATATGTGGGTCTATTCTGATCTTTCTATTCTGTTTCATTAATCTGTCTATTTTAATGCTAATATCTCATTGTTTTGGTTACTGTAGCTTTACAATGTCTTGAAATCAAGTAGTATTAGAACTCCAACTTGATTATTCTATTTCAGAATGAGCATACTTTCCAATGTATTTTATGAGGTTAGCATTACCCCTATATAAATCTAGCCAAAGACATTACAAGACAAAGACACTATAGATCAATATTCTTTGTGAACTTAGTTGAAAAAATTTTCAACCAAATTTTAGCATATTGAATCTAACAATACATAAAAAAGAAAATACATAATGACAAAGTGGGGTTTATCCCAAAAGTCCAAGGTTGATTTAATGTTTGAAAATTATTAATGTAATTCATCATATTAATAAATGAAGAAAGAGAAAAAATAATCATCTCATGGATTCAGAAAAAGCATCTGACAGCATTCAATATTGCTTCCTGATAAAAATTCTCAACAAACCAGGCATACAAAGGAGCTTCTTTAAACCTGTGAAAAGCCATCTATGGAAAACTGAAAGCTAATATCATACTTTATGGTGAAAGACTAAAAGCTGTTTCCCTATGATCAGGATAAAGATAATGATATTTATTCTCACCACTTCCATAAAACACTTTCATGGAGTCCTGCCTGGTGTAATAAGGCAAGAAAAAGAAATGAAAGTTGTTCACATTGGAAAGGAAGAAGTAAAACTGTATCCATACCCAACATAATTGTTTATGTCAAAAATCTGATGAAGCCTGCAAAAATCTACTGAAGTAAAAAATGAGTTATTATTGTTGGGGAAAATGAAAGCTCTAAATAAATGAGGAGTTATACTGTGTTCATTGGTCAGAAGACTTATTATTGTTAGGATGTCAATTCTCCCCAAATTGATCTATGCAATCCCGATCACAATCCCAGTAGGCATTTTTCTGTTAATAGAAATTGACTAGCTGATTCTAAAATTCATATAGAAATTTAAAGGGCCTAGAATAGCCAGACAATTTTGAAATAGAATAATTAAGTTGGAGTTCTAATACTACTAGATTTAAGATCAGATGGTTAGCAAACTTAATTCTATCTGCAACCTTAATTAAATGTTTGTCATGTAGCATAACATATTCACATGTTCCAGGGATTAGGACAGGCATATCTTTTGGGGAGCCATTATTCTACCTACTACAGTATATCTGAAACAATTTGGGTACATGAATCTACTTCAAATTTGATAAGATCGAAATACAGATCACATATATTTGATAAAAACTTGCAATGTAAATCTGATATGCTATAAGTAGATTCCAAAGATTTACTATAAAAGATGTAAACTATTTCACTAATAATTTTATATTGATTACTTGTTGAAATGCTGATTTTTTGACATATTGGGTTATCCAATATAAATAAATATGTTAAATAAAATATATTGTTAAAATAAAAGACAACCCAATAGAAAAGTGGATAAGGGATGTTAACAAGGAATTAATAGAAGAAATACAAATGGTCAATAAATATGTCATAAGATTCTCCATTTAAAAGGACAATCAGCACTTAATGACCATGCAATGGGAACAGCATACAGAAATGGGCATTCTCATACACTTTTGATGAAACATAATTTGATAAAGACTTTTTGAAAGCAATTTTGCAATGTCTAAAACTTGCAAATACTGAGCCCTCCTAGATGCAGACAAAATGGCACATCCTTTGTCCATTAGCTACTTACACCAATGGACTGCATTTGTATGGCGCTAGAGATGCATTAAGTCAGCTGCAGCCTCTCAGGAGGAACTTAGATACATAGGCTGAGCAATTCCCTAACAGAGCAAATTAACATGAGCTCGGACACATGGGGAAGGGGGAAAGGGCCCAACATTTGTGGAAATCTATCATGTGCCTGGAGTTTGCACACTCTTTCTGTACCTAGGTGCCCGTCTGCAAACTGCCGTTCTAGGTGCAAACTGTGTGCCTGGTTCCTTCTGAGATACAAACACTTAAGCCCTGACCTGGCACTATAGTAGGAAGGCCAGCTGGCAAAGTGCTGACACTCACTTTGCGCTCCTCAAAGAATTCCCAGGACCCTCATAGTTGAGGGCACTGTCTGAGGTGCCAGAAACAGGTACTGGTTCTTGTGACCTGCATGCGTCTAAAGCACAGAATCTTGGCAAAACACAGGCTCTCAAAGGCCATGGGGCCAGATATCAAATCATTTAATCCTCACGACAGCCTCATGAAGCAGATACTATTATTGTCCTCATTTTCTAGGTAAGGAAACCAAGGTGCTGAGTGAGCTCATGTAAAAGGTGTCATCCTCTGGCCACCTTCCTTTAGTGTCCCTAGACTAGTGGTTCTCAAAGTGTATTCCCCAGGGCTCTCAGCATCAGAAAAATGGTTAGAAATGCAAATGGTCCTACTTTCCCCAGACCTATAGGGTTAGAAACTCAAGGGTGGGGTCCAGCACTATTCTGATTGAACACTTACATTATTAGAAATTGAATCAGGCTGGGTGGTGTGACTCACACCTGTAACCCCAACACTTTGGGAGGCCGAGGCAAGAAGATTGCTTGAGCCCAGGAAATCGAGACCAGCATGGGGAAGATAGGGAAACCCCGTTTCTACTGAAAATTAAAAAATAGCAAAAATTAGCTAGGCATGGTGGCATACACCTATGGTCCCAAATAGAGGTCGAGGTGGGAGGCTCACTGGAGCCCGGTAGGTAGAGGCTGCAGTAAGCCATGATCGCAACACTGCTCTCCAGCCTGGGCCACAGAGCAAGACCCAAAAAAGCAAAACAAAACAAAACAAAACAAAAAAACAAAAAAAAAACATTAAATCGCAAAAATCTACTGATAAATAAGTTATAGTAAAAACAAAGGTTAAAAAGTATTCAAAATATATCATTTCCTAACTTAATGTACTATGACTTCACGTACTATGTCTTAAGCTCTGGAGGTTACTGACATCCATTGCATCCATGTGGTGCAAACACTATGGTGCATCTCTTCTCAGCTCCACATGCAATGATGTCATAAAATGGGCCATGGAGGGGGAGGGCATTTATATCACTGAAGTTAGCAAACACTCCAAATCCAGGTACTTTATAGTTTTCAGAGACCCCATTGTTAAACACCACCAAAACACCAGACTCTCTGTGTTTTAACAAGCCCTGGGGTGACTCCAAGGCACGTTCAAAGTTGAGACCTACCCTGAGTGTCTCAGCTGAATGCTATGTTCTGACTCCATTCACATCTTTTCATCACAGTCTTAGCAAATGTCATACCAGGGACCAGAGAGCAGACTCCCTCTGCTCCCCAGGCCCCCAACCCCCACCCAGTCCCAGAGCCACATTCTTGACCTGTGGGAGGCAGAGGAATCTGGGCAGCCGAGGGCCAGTGCTAGGGCCCCTGCAGTGGTGGGGGGCACACTGGGATTCCCCTGAGAAGTGAGCAGCAGATCCCACAGTCACAGCCTGGCTCTCCACGGTGGCTTCTTGCAAACAAAGTCAGTTGGTGGCTGCCATGATAAAGATAGGGAAGCAAAGAGTAAAGCCTGGGGCTCCAGCATTGGGCACACCTGAGCTGACGTCCCCAGCACACCCTTGTGGGCGGTGGGCACAGGGCTGGTTGCATCACCTTCCTGACCTCTGTCTGCTTGTCTGGGAAGACAGGAATGGTAGTGTCTACCCCTCTGGGGTCTCTACATTAAATCCAGTAATTTAGGCAAAGAGCCAGGAATATAGTACAGTCTTTATAAACAGAAGCTATTACTGCTTTTCCATTTAGCTATAGTAGAAAGCAATGTCAATGTCAATATTGTTACTCTCCTTGTACGGATGACAGATTTTGGGACACAGGAAAAAAAACAGCAAAGTACCTAGAATGACACAGGGACTCTGTTACTGAAACAGCAAACGCCCAAGATGCATCCCGTTAGCCAGTGATGGATCTCACCCACACCCTCTAATGAGCACATTTCTCCATCCTGGGGCTGCTATCCTAATGTATTTCCAGTAGCTCCAAGTTCTCTAGCAAGAAAGTAACCATCAATTCAGTTACAAAGATTACCAGCTGGTTCTCTGGTTTATTGCTGTAATTCCTCTAAAGCAAGCATCTGCGGGTAAGGACGATGTTCTGCCTTTCCACATTAACGTTGCTTAAATGAGAAGAGTCACTTCCATGTGTCCTTGGAGCGCAGGATTCCAGCAGCACATGGGAGGCTCCCATCACCCTGTGAAAGCCAGGATTTGCCTGGAAAATATTGGGGGTGTGTACTCTGTGAGTACACATGGGGGTAGAGGCAGGAGGCGACCTGGATACAGCAGGTGACTTTGCCCCTCACCTGGGTAAATGCAGACACAGGGATGCGGTGCCCCACTAGGTGTGGAGCCCTTATATACAATAATAGCAGGCATTTATTTAGCAAACACTTACACAGTTCTCACTGTGTACCAGTACTAAGTACTAAGAACTTCCAAGTACTAATTCATTTGATGCTCCAAATATCCCTACAAAGTACTTTATTATTCCTGTTTCACAGACAAGGAAACTGGGGCACAGACAGGTTGAACAATGTTCCTGTAGCTGAGCCAGGATTTGAACCCAGGTAGTTGGTTGCAGGGATGGAGTTCAAAATGCGTTTCCCATTGAGAGGACCAAAAATATGTAGTGAAGCCATACCAAGTCTGAGTTGAGCAAAACCAAGCATGAATGAAATAAAGGCCTCAGCACAGCTCATAGTCACTGACATACAGAAGGAGGATAAAGGAGGCCCTGCCTAGCCTGGGGGTTGGGGAAGGGTCAATCACAGCGGTTATAACACCTCATTCTCTTGAGTAGGACTTACCACATGGGAATCTGGCATCTCGACCCTCCTGAGACATGTCCCATTGTGCAGATGTGGAAACTGAGGTTCAGAGACATTGAGCGGGTTACCTGAGGTCACACAGCCTGGAAGTGCAAGGCTGGGACTCAAAGCCAGCCTCCCCGTCCCTATACCTCATGCTTTTTTTCTGCACCTTTCAGCCCAGCTGCCAGACCTCAGCACTAGAGAGCAGGTGGAGCCGCCCTCTGTCATGCATACACATGCACCCCAGGCACCTGGCACTCTCTGTAGTGGGGTACCATGTACATGGTAACTGACTCCTATCTCATTGGTAAAGAAATGAAATCTCACCCAGCCAAGACGTGGCAGGACTGGACGCACACAGATCTGTTGATCCTTTCCCCCATGTTGCCTCAGGAGCCAGAGTGCCAGGCTTCTCCCTGACCCTGTCCAGCCTGAAACCCTGCTGGCCCAGAAAGGCTTAGGTGGCACACTGGATCAGGCGCTCCCAGTGGTGGGAGCCTCCCTCCCTGCTCCAGAGTTCCCCCTGCCTGTGGGCAGAGCTCCTCCAATCATGTATGCAGACTACAGTGTCCACCTTAATCCACCTGGGACTCTGAGTAGGCCTCATCTCTCCCTAGGAGAGGAGGTGTGTGCCCCTCTCTGAGGCCCAGCCTTCCCAGCCATGGCCTGGAGGGCCCCAGGTCCTAACCTCTCCTCTCCAGGGACCCTGACGACAGCAGTCCCCTCCCCATCATCTCATGCTCCCTGTGTTTGTGTTTGCCTCCTTTTTAGGGATTTATTTCTCTACAAGGGACACAGGTGACTGAACTTCCTCCTGGCCCCGAGGACCCAGGGAAGCACCTCTTTGAGATCAGCCCAGGTAGGCCTGAGCACCTTCCAGCTCTGCAGCCCTGGTGGGGGTGTTGCCATGCCCCTGGCCTGGGAAGGGCAGACCTTCGTGACACTCCTCCCGCAGGAGCCACAGCACAGTCTCCAGGCATGACTCGGAAATGTGGGCCAAATCGACAGCATACTCACATGGGGAAGAAATTAGAAAGTCCCATCAATTATCTGGACAATGAGCTTTTGGGTAATGCGAAACGAGGATTTTTAAATTCACGATAAATGCAAGGAAAGAAATTAGTCAATGGGAACATCTCAGGGTGAAAATCTAAACACAATACCTGGAAATAAAGCCAGGGAAAAACACTAGCACAGATCAAGAATATTTAGGTAAGGATGATTATAAATTCCAAGGCAGAGAATTGGGATGTGGCAGGAGGAAGGGGAATAATTTTCCTAAAGAACTGCTCTACTGTCACGTTAGCAGTTACAAAACAATATTTTAAACTTCCAAGTTTGACAATGTCGTTGTTAATGCACTAAGTAAAAGTGCCTTGCAGAGAAGCCAGTGTACATGGCAGGGCCGGCTCTGCTGTCAGCCAGTGTTTTCTTTAGCTTGGCCTCCCCTAGAAGCAGAGCCTGAGACAAGGATCTGGCATGAGGAAGGGAGTCAGAGAAGGGAAGAAAGCCAGCCCAGACATGCTAGTGAGTGGGTTGCTGCTGCAGGCATCCTAGCTCAGTTCCCACAGGGGCTTCTGGACACAGTGCAGAACAGGCTTCAGAGGGGTCTCATCCAAGAAGTGAGGCTGGGGCTCTACCCACCCACTCCCACCCCCCAAGTCCTTGAGAACTGCTTTCTGGGGAGTAACCGACATTTCTAGCCTACCCTCACATGGACAAAACTCTGCAGACAGAGACAGCCTTCAGGGACAGTTGCAGATGCTTGAGGAAGGAGACCACTGGCAGCGTGATGGGAACAGTGAGTGCTGAGGAGTCTGGGAAGGGTACCAAGAGTGTCAGCTGAATTTAGACATCCTGGGAAGTGGTGGCTGTGAACTGAGTGTGCTAGGGCCTCACTGTGGCCCAGTGAACCAGTAAATCTATGATTGGTCGCAAAGCAGTAAAGCCACCCCAGCCACCCTGAGAAATGATCTATTGGCTGTCCACTGAGGGAGCACCCCAGGCTCAGGCCATGAGTAGAGGCTCTTTGGGAACAGGTATGAGAAGATCCTGCCTGGGATAGGGGCATGTCTACCTTTGTCCTGTCCATACCAGAGTTCGCAGGGGCACAGGCAAAAGTTGAAGTGCAGAAACACCCTTTCCAACTATACGCGCCTGTGCAAAATTCAAGTACCTATGGTTTCACTTGGGTATTCCTTTTCATCTAATGCAAGAATCTTTGTGGTAAAACTGCACATCAGAAGGTGGTAACAAAGGGATCCTGGGGTATGGAGTAGAAAACAGAGGTTGACTGTGGAACCAGGAGAAAAGGCCTCAGCTATTCAGATAGAGAAGAAATGCAAGTAGTGACGTAGGCAGGGCCCTGCCATCTAGGCGAGGGGTGTGGCCCCTGGCTCTGGGGACAGGGGTAGTGACTCAAGGCCAGAACTAGAAGGTAGAGGTCAACACACTCCAGCCATCAATTCAGAAAGGCACTGAGTGTGTGCTCCATAGGCCAGATAAGGGACATCACCTGTGTGCATGTTCATTATCTGGGTCAGAGCTATTTACAAGAATTTATTTGACTCTTGCCAGTGGTGTTGGGGGTGTTGGGGGCGGTAGGAGAAGACCCTTTGCCATATAAGGTAACATAGTCACAAGGTTCCAGAAATTAGAAGATGGACATCTTTGAGGACCATTATTCTGCCTCCCACAATACTCCCAACATCCCTCTAAGATAGGGAATGTCGTCAGACCTATTGTACAAAAACAGACCGTGGAGATTAGAAAGAATCCCCAGAGAGACACACAGCTAGTGGCGGAGTTGGGGCTTCAGCCCAGACATTCTGGGCTACACACTTACCTTGCCCTCCAACACAGGCATCTGGCCATCTGAGGACCCCTACAGATTCTAGCATTTTCCCCACCTGGGCCTAAGGACTTTGTTATGGGAAGGAAAGTTCCTGAACTCCTTTGTCTCAAGCACAGCAGCAGTAGCCTGCCTGCGCATCAGGTTCCTGCAGATCCTGCGAGCTGCTCCCCAGAGCTGCCCATCTCTGCCCTCCAGCCTTTGTGCAGCTGCTGAGCAGTTCAGGGAGAGCGGGACGGGTGGTGGGCGGTGAGCGGTCCAGTCAGCCTTTGCAGAGTGCGGCGCAGCTATCTGCAGAGCAGAGCACAATGCCAGTGCTGCCCGGGGCCCAAGAGTGGTCCCCTCTGCTCCCCTCCCACTGGGGGCTCCGGATTTAGGATGCTTCCTATCAGCCTGCTCAGATGGGACCTGGGAGGCTGCACTCGAAGCTCATGCTTGGTTCTGGCTGCAGCTGGCAAAGCTCCCCATCCTTCACAGCCCATGAAGATGTCAGGCCAGAGGGGTAAGGTGAATCTCCTGAGGCCAAACAGCTGGCAGGTACAGGAGCCTGGACCCTCCCAGGTCAGCCTGACCCCAGAAGGGTGGGCTTCCTGTTACAGCAGTTGCTGACTGAGGCTTCAGCTATAGGCCATGTTGGGGCTAAAAACGAATAAGAAGATTGGATGAACCCACCTTAAACCACAGCAACGTGCAGTCACAGGAAGGCCAAGAAACCCATTCACATCCAACTCAGCAAACCTCTCGTGTGACCTCAGCTTTGAGCCAGCCTTGCAGGGCCCTGAGATGAGCAGGGGTCAGTCTCTGCCATTAGGGAGTCTGGGGACATTTTCTTCCTGAGCTCAAGGCACAATAAGGACTTATCCTCACTAGGCTGAGCACAGTTACCTGGGGGCAGGAGCAGGAAGTATCACCAAGTGGGCCATGCCAGTGTGCACCAAGCACAGCCCCCGGGGTAAATGTGCAAAGACCAAGAGGAAATCCAGGCTGGGTGGGTGAAGGGTGGCAAGTGCATCTGGGGGGACAAGGGGCTTCTCCTACAGTTCCGAGGGTGCCAGGTGGCAGGCTCTGTGAGCAGTGAACTAACAGGCGCAGGAAGGAGCCTAACAGCCCCGCCTGGGGTCTGGGCCTAGGCCAGGAAATCAGGGCAGGATATGAGGAAGGAGGACAAACCCCGGATCACTTCCAGGCTATGCCTGTGCTGGCCTGTGGTACTGGTCACACCACAATGGGTCCCTCACTCTCCAACCAGCACCCCCAAGAGGGGGAAAAACTTGACAACTCTTGGAAATGTGACAGAATTCCAAGGAAGGTCATGCCTAGAATTAACTACGTAAATTTTAAGCCATAGTTCTATTTGTGCAATTCAACGGTATAAAAAATGACAATGTTTTCAAAGTAGAATTAAAAATGAGGAAACATTATACTGTGAGTGCCATCTAGTGGAGAGATCTGCCAGTTCTGGGCCAGAAAGTGCAGGCCCTGTTGCCCACCCCCAGCCTTTCAGCCAGCACAGCTAGATAGGAGTGGAGCTTGAGGCCAAGCCATCTGGCTTCCAAAGCCACACACTAAAATTGCCCTCCAACACAGACATCTGGCCATATGGGGCCTCCTACAGATTCTAGCATTGTTCCCATCTGGGCTGGGAGGTCTTGGAACTTGATACAGCATACACCTCTGGTTCCAAAAGCACCTGAGAACCTGCACATCCAGCCACTGAGCAAGACACAGAGAAAACACTCTTATAAGGGGGCTTTAGTGCCAGTGGGACTTCTGTCCTCTTGTGGCTGTGGCCTGCCACTGCTTTCCCGACATGGTCAGTATATAAAGCGTACTGAGAGGTGGGAGCAATTGCTTTGGGCAGAGGTGACGGTCTCCTCCCTGAAGCTGCGGGGACACGCAGGAAAACCACTTATAAAGTTTAAGGGAGGCTGAGAGAAAGGGTGACTGGCATTTGTGTCTTGCTTGGACAGTTGCTTACACACAAGATTTGCTTTTCATGGTTACCCAGGCAAGGAAAATCTGACTGAGGACTGATGGCAAATGGGGTTCTGCCAGGCACACCTCCTGCCGTAAGCATCCAGTTCTCAAGAGGAGCAGAATGTGAAGCCTCTGTGGGACCACAGGCCTGGGCACTGATGGAGAAAAGAGGATGACATGGGCCCTCAGACTTTCTAGAATTCTCATAGTGCAGGGCAGACAGGCAAGATGCCACCTGCAGGAAGTCAGCTGAGATTTGAGGTCAGAACGCACAACAGATCCCCAGTGCCCAGAGGAGCTGGTTGGGAGGGTGCCCCTGCCCCAGTTCACAACACCGTCCACCAGGGAGGGAACTGCAACCTTGCCTGGCAAGCAAAGAAAGGTCTACATTTCCCCTCTGCCTCCTTCCCACCCCAGTGCCCAGGGTGCAGTTCAGGGAAGAGTCTAGGAGAAGCAACCCCTATCTATGCCAGCACACCCCAGTCCGTGAGGGCCACAGTGCTGGGGGAGCAGCACAAAAAGAGCTTTGAACCAGATGTGAGGGAACAGAATTAAGGATTGGAGAGATCCTTAATGAGACTGTTAGAATAACTAAGAGTGGCACACACTCTGGACCCTGGGAAAATCACCAAGTGAGCAACGACTCAAAGGGAAGGTAGGAAGTGATAGGCATAGTTATTGGGAAAGTAAAACCATTTCATGTTTATTCTCCAGTGAGCTTAGCTTTTTTGTATTAGGGTAAGTGAACTGCTGGAATAACCCCCAAATCTCAGGATCTTGACACAAGAATGTATTTGTCTTTCATATAAAGTCAAAAATGAACACTTGTGATTGGCAGGCAGTTGATCTCCCAGCATCTTCCTATTTCATGGTTTCGCCATCTGAAACCTGTGGCTTGCAAAAGTATCCTAGTTGTTTCCATGCTAGGAGGCCATCATGCCTGGGAGATGTGTTGGTCCAGGCCTGGAAGTGGCCCCATCATCCCGTCACAGCCCATTGGCCAGAATGCAGTTGCATGGCTACACCTCGGAGCAAGAGAGTCTGGGAAATGGAGTCCACCTCTTTCCAGGAGGAAGGCAAGGCTGGTTTGGTGAACAGTCAGTAGTCCTGCCATTCTGTATAATGATCTGTTACCTTGGAGTAAGAAAGACACCTTCCTACCCTCACAGAATTAACAAGTTCAGGAAGCAGGCAGGAAGGCAGACATTGACTCACAGGATGAGAAAGGCTAGGAGGAGAGTAAAAAGGCAATTGTGTGAGCCTGGAGGAGGGGACCCTAATGCACGCAGGGAGTGCATGGGACTTCCAGGATAAAGTGACAACGACCCTGCTCTTTGAAGGTTAAGTGAGAGTCAGCCAGGTGAAGAATCAGGGAGAGCAGCTGGGCAGAAGCAGCAATGGGCAAGCACAGTGGGCACGGGGTCTGTGTGTCTCCTTCACACCTTAGTTCCAAGGCGCTCAGCACATAGGTAACTGAATTTAATGTAAGGATTGGAAGCAACAGGAGGTTAAGCTTTCTGCCAGAATGAAAAGTTGTCCTCTGTGGCAGGAGAATGGTGTCGGGCAGTGGTTCTCAAGCTTTAGTGAGCCTCCGCCTCATCTGGAGGGCTTGCAAAAAACACTGCTGAGTGGGCTCAGGGTCCAAGGTGGAGAGGCTGCCCCTGGTGTAGAGATAGTGGGGGACTTAGAATCCTGGAAGGGTGAATGAGATGGGCCTCACAAGCGGACTGAGTGAGAGGAGGTTTGAGTTAATTGGGGGCAGGCAAAGCTATAACCAATGTTTTAATTCTAATAATTATTATTCCAAGAGGAGGAGGACCGTATAATGTATAAGATGCTGGTTTGTGCTTTGATCTCCTGGCCCTTTTTAATCCCTAGGCCACTTGCCTCAGGGGAAGGTGAGGTCTCTGCAGCAGAAAGCAGAAATCTCCTGCTCTCCCACCCCAGATAATTGATGTGGACAGGGTCGGGAAAGAGGCGTTCCCCTAGACTGGTCACCCTGCCCCCAGCAATGCCCCAGGAAGGTGATAGGCATGGTGCCACCAGGAAAGCAGGCTCCAGACACCAGGGTCCCGCCTCAGACAGACACACCATGGTCAAGAAAGGCAGGAGAGCTACCTAGCTTCCAGCCCCAAGTGACTGCAGGTAAAGACATCAGGTGACCAGGAGGGACCAAGAACAGCCCATCCCATTGCCAGGCCCCATGTAAGCCTGACCACAGCAAAGAGGACCCCTTCCCTCCATCTCAATAGTAGCTGGGACTCAGCTCCCTTCCAGCCTGGGAACATAGGGCTTGGAGATAGAATTAACATGATTCTTTCTAACAAATATCATATTTGTTGAGTGCCTGAGGTTGTAGACCAAGGTGTGTATGAGTGCTAGTGGGCTAAACATTCACTGAGTTCCTTCTAAGGAATGAAGCTGAGCACACCACGTTTATCCTCACCACACTCCTGGGACTAACCTCTACTAACCCATCTAACAGGCAAGGCCCCTGGGACTCTGACAAGCTAAGTAACTTGCTGGGATCCGAGGGCCGGTGAGCGGTGGAACTGCAGCTTGAGCCAGCTCTAACCCCAGAGCCCTGCTCTTCCTCAGCCTGCTGAGGCTAGCTCCCCCGGGGCAGGCATGAAGGAGCCAGGCCCCACAAAGGGACTGAGACTCAAGGACCCCCAGGTCCTGCCCACCTGGTACTTCTGTCTTGCCAGGGCAGCTGCCTGGCAAACCCTGCCCCTCCCAGCCCTTTGAAAGCTGTCTGCTCCTTGCAGACTTGATCCTGGGGGCCTCTCAGACCTGGGCTTTTTGCTGATGTGGGCATCCAGCCCCAGGCCAAGTTTAGGCCTCCCTTTAAATCCACAAGGAGCGGGTGGGGAGTGGAGAGGCCTGCTTTGGCACTCTGGGCAAAAAGAGTTGCTAAGATCCCAGAGCAGGCCTGTCCCCAAAAAACGGCCATGTTTGGTGAGATGAATTAGGTCATCCGTTAAGCTTTGTAACTCATTGCTAAAATCCGTCTTCTGGAATTAGCACAATGCTATTGAAGGGAACCAAGTGGGTTGGTGCTATCAAAGGGAACCAAGTGGGTTGGCTGCAGGCTTGAGACCAGAACCATAAGTCTTTCTAGTGAGTAACCGTAAATGGGGTGGGGCCGGGGGAGTGGAGATTAAGAGTCCTGGTTGGAGCAGGTTGCAGAAGCCAGCTCTGGCTAACTCTAGCAAAGGGGAAATTCACCAGAAACCAGGGGGTAGGATGTGATGGGAGTGACACTTGTGGAAGGGGCAAGCGGCTGGGCTGTCACGGGGCCAGGAGCTGGGAGGGGCGAGCGGGTGGTACTCTGTGCTGGGAAGGTTGAATCTCGCCTGGCTCTGCAATCCCGGCATGGCTCACTTGCCGAAAGCCCAAAGTCTCAGTATCTGTGCTTAAGCTACATGCCTACCCCTGACTACACTGGGGTGGTGAGGAAGGGCCTATCCACTCTGGCATCTGGACCAGCCCTCCCAAGACTTCGCCTAGTGGGGGCAAGGAGACTCCAAAGGAACTTGGGTGCCTTCCAGAGGGGAGAGTAGAAGACAAACAGCCAGTCTCTGTCAAATGTTCACTGCTCCAGATGGTCCATGACTGTATTTCTGCAGGGCTGAGTGTCACATCATTGGCCTTGCCCTTTCCAAGTGCCAGACAAGGGGCCAGGACGGGATGCCTTTTCAACAACATTGCACCGAGCCGATGGCCCCCCACACTCAGGAGCAATTCCTACTTGTGGGGAAGGACCTGAGTGTGCAGTGCTGAGGATTAGCCCGAGGAAGACGTGAATGGCCACCCTGGATCTGAGGAAAAGGAGGAGGAGGAGAGTGCTCTGTTTTCTGGTGCAGAAGGAGGTGAAGGGTACCACAGCTGCTCTGAGGCCTGGGTCTAGTCCCCATCCTGGAGCACCTGTCTGCTTTGGGCTGGGAGCCCCATATTTCTCAAGATCAGGGTCAGGAGACTCGGGGGCCAGCTGTACCATTCAGAGGCCTGGCAAGCTCTCTGCTCTCCCACAGAGGTCCATGCTCCTTCCCTCCCACTGGGCTCCTTGGGGCCTCCCCCCCAACTCCCCAAACACCAGATGGGAATCCTGCAGGCAATAGGAGGCCTGGACAGGGATGGCTTTGAGGTCTTGGGTTTTCAGCTCCAACCAGTCTTCAGAGACCATGGTAGTAGCAAAGCTAGCATTGTGTCCCATGGGAATCAGGGCCATGGGGTTGATTGTCGCCAGACACACCACACGCGGATGCAGATGTTGCCTAGGCAAGCTGGTGTCTGCATGTAGAAAGGAAGCTTCCGAGGAAGAGCTGGGGAGGCAAGCCTGGGAGCCATCTTCCTGTTTGTGCCCATTTTCCACACACTCTCAACAGACATCAAGGGCCTCACAGCATCTAGTCAGTGCTGTTCCAGACCACCCATCTCTCCAGGCCAGAGTCAGGGAGAGCTGGATGTGAGCATAGCCATGCTACTCAGGGACTGTGTGGGTTTTGACAAGTCACAGAGGGCTCCGTGCCTCAATGTCCCATAAACTGGGGGTGAGAATATTGCCAAGCACCTTGGGTTGTGGTGAGGATTCACTGAGAACCCAGATCCTGGCTCATAGTAGGTACCTGGTCTAGATAAGCTCCCCTCCTCCCTGCATGCTCTCTAATCATTAATCGTTATGATTAATAACAGCAACCCAATCCCATCACAATGCTGTGTGATGAGTGCTCTGATAGAGGTGTCCCTGACTGAGACACTTTTATCTTTAGCTTCAGGATTTCCCTTGGCCAACGGCACAGTAAGTAACCTCAGAGTTCAAAGCATTCAGCAAACAATGGAAAGGCAGAGCCACCAGAAATGTACACATGATTTTCATGACAGGTATGGTAATGCCATGTTAGCTAGCGGAGCCTCTTTCTCTACTGCCCGTATGGACCTATGTTGCAACACCAATTGGAATTGGATGGAATCTGTGCCCTGTTGCCAGGGTCACCCCTAACGGAATGGAGAGATCAGTAATCATCCCAGCTGGTGTCATACTGAATTGTTTAAAACACAAATCATAATTGATGCCAAGTAAAAGCTCCATGTGCCCATTAAAATATGGCATTATGGAAAAAGTAAAGTACATTTGAATCCTTAAAAATAAAACAAAAACTATGTGTTAGAAAGATCACTCAGGGTAGACCAACTGAGGGGCTTACAAGAACTGTAATGTCTGATGCTCATCTCCACCAATGTCTATTCTGTGCCCCCACCCCTACCCTGGCAATGTCGACAGAAAAGACCACACTGCCACAGGAGTAGCGGGGACCCCTGTGGGAGGCAGCGCAGAAGCCAGGCTGCTTAAAGCAGAGCCCTGAGTCTTTCGTGCATTTACAAGTTTATGTGTCAAGTTCTCCAGGATCAAGCCAGGGAGTCCTGATCACTAACAACATCTCTGCCTTGGGGGCCTGTTTAAGTGGCTTCCAGACTCAGCTCAGACCCTAGCTCTCAAGGGCAACCAGATTAGATTTCTTCCCTTCTCTGAATCTCAGTTTCCCCCTGTGTAAGACGAGAGGGCTGGCCCAGTGACCTCCGACGTGTCTGCTTGAACGAGTAGAATGGCACCAGCTGGCATTCTATAGCCAAGTTTGTCCAGAGGGAGCCAGTTCCTGCCCGTCTTATGGCTACACAAGGTCATTGAAGTCGCCCTCAGGCATGGAGCTTGTAGCTGCCTGGCCTTATCCAGCCTGCCCTTGGAGCAGATAGGAGACTGCTGCCTGCTGTCTTAAAGGGAGGCCTGACCTTGAAGGAGAGCCAGTGTGCACAGATTACTCCGCAGAGGAGACAGATACTGTGTGTCTGACATGCCCAGAGCATCCCTGATCACATTAGCCGCCGCCTGAGTGGGGAGGATGCTGATACCGGCCTATCTCGGCACCTGGTACCAGCCAGCCTGAGTCTTGGCCTGACCTCGTGCAGCCCCTGCTGAGGTTGTCTGCAGAGCGCCAGATGATGGGTAATGACAGAAATGAAATTAGATGAGAAGTTTGCCAGTGATCCCCACCCCTGAGATGGGAGTGGCTCTTACACTTCCTGGCTTTGCAGTGGGGTTCTCCTGTCTTAGCCTCACTTCTCTCAGCTCAGCACAGGACCAGGTGTGGGAAACTCCTGCAGGCTCCCTGGAAAGAGTCCCCTTGAGCAGGATCATTCCTTTGGCCAAAATCGTGTCCTAGAGCAGCGCTCTTCTATAGAGATGTAATGCAAGCCATGTTTGTGGTTGTAAATTTTCTAGTGAGTACACATGTGAAAATATCTGCATAAATATATACACCTACTACACACTCACAAGGACTAAAAATTTAAAATTTTTTTAAAACTAAAAGGAAAGAAAGCTAGTGAAATTGTTCTTAATAATGTATTTTTATTTAAACTACTGGCTCCAAAATACTATCATTTCAATATGTAATCAAAATAAACATTAGTGAAATATTCCACATTCTTTTTTGCTTCCAAGTCTAAATTGGTATTTACACTTAAAGCACATTTCCATGCAGACACTAAATTTTCACTGGAAGTACTTGATATATATTTACTTATTCTAATTTTTTAATTTTTTAAATTGACACATAATAATTGTACATATTCATGGGGTACATAGTGATGTTTTGATACATATATTGTACAGTGATCAGATTAGGGTGATTAGCATATCCACCATCTCAAGCATTTACCATTTATTTGTGTTGCGAGCATTCACTGTCCTCCTATTTGAAATTATGTAATATATTAATTAACTATAGCCATCTTTGATCGGCATTTAGATTTCATAAAATGTATGATTGAAAAGTAGAGTCACATACCCAAGTTATTCCAAACATACTTAAATGTTTTTCAGCAATGGAACTGAATGTCAGTTTTTAAACTAATGTAAATTAAATTAAATTGACAATTCCATTGCTCAGGCACACCTGCTTCATTCACATGCTCAGGACCCACATGTGTGGTGGCACCGTATTGGACAGCACAGGCCTAGATGAGAACACCAGCATAGAACAGGTGCTCTACAGGCAAAAATGAAAGAAGCAAGGGGAGAAAGAGAAAGAAGGAAGGATGAACAAAGAAAGAACGGCAGGGATGGGGAGGGGGTGGGAGCCTCAGACTTGGAGTAAGACAGAGCTAGATTCACATTTGAGCTCTGCCATTTGCTCAATAAAAGAACCTGGACCAATAACTTAAATCCCATGGGCTTCATTTTCATCATCTGATCGTAGAAGGGAAACTGCCTACTTGGCAAGACAGCTGTAATCATCATGTGAAGTACGATATGCAGACGGCAGGACAGTTTCTCCCCTGACCCCACCCAGTCCTTTCTCTTTTTTTTTTTTGACGGAGTCTTGTTCTGTCACCCAGGCCGGAGTGCAGTGGCACGATCTTGGCTCACTGCAACCTCCACCTCCCTGGTTCAAGCAATTCCCTGCCTCAGCCTCCCAAGTAGCTGGGATTACAGGTGCACACCACCATGTCCGGCTAATTTCTTTGTATTTTTAGTAGAGACGGGGTTTCACCATGTTGGCCAGACTGGTCTCGAACTCCTGACCTCAGGCAATCGGCCCACCTTGGCCTCTCAAAGTGCTGGGATTACAGACATGAGCCACCACGCCCAGCCTCTCTCTTTTTTTTTCAGTTCTTCTTTTATCTGTCATAGACAAACAAGCTTCCAATGAGATTTTAATTTTTTAGTTGTGTTGCTTTAAAACAAACAAAAAATCTAATAATCATCGCTTTACAGCTGTGCTTCTCAAATTTCCTGGTGCATCAGAATCCCCCAGGCTGCTGGCCCTTCCCTGGCTCCAGAGGCCTGGAGTGAGTCAAGGAATCTGCATTTCTAATGAACTCTGGACAATACTGGTGCTGCTGGTCTGAGAACTACTCACTGACAGGTCAAGAGACAGCAGAAAAAAGAAAAAAAACTTTATACTTAATCCCTTTAATGGCACTTTTTTTCCTTTTTTTAAATACAGGACATGTTTATTTTTGCCTTGAGTCCCCAAAAATTCTCTAGCTGGTCCTGAGCAGAGTGGGTGAGCCACCCCAGAAGCAGGGGCCCTGAGGCTGTGCTCAGGGTGGTGTGAATCTGGGATGCAGAGAGATGTCCCTGGACTGTGTTTGATTCTGGGCACTGTGCTCAGGAGGGCTGTCCCCAAGGCAGTGAGGAGCCTGGAGGCCACCCCGCTTCCCTGCAGCTCTGAGCTTCTCCACTGTGATGGAAGGAGGACTCTGCGGGGCTCAATGGCCACACAAATGGATGTGAAGGGCTGCACATCTCTGTGCGGGCCTAGGGCTAGCCCCTGCACCATGTTTTTTAGTTGATATTTAGCTGGTGTGTCCCCTTGGGCACATGGATACTCAAGGGGTGAGAACAGACCCTCACAGACACCCAGGGGCCCCCAAGTTGCTCCATACATGCCCACCAGCAGCCAGGTCCCTCTCCCACCAGTCACTAGGACCGTGCTGCTCTGCTGAGGGTGTACTGAAAATGGGCACCAATAGGGAGATGACTCCTGGGCTCAGCCTCCCCAGCTCTCCTATGGAGCCTTCCTTTCTACATACAGACACCAACCTGGGCAAGGAAGTCCAGCCAGGCAGCTCCTCTTCCGACAGCCTGCTACCCCACCTGCAGTGGACAGGCCACCCCCAAGGGTGTTCAGCCTCCACTCTGCCATGCACTAGGCACCTGGATTGGGGATGGGCAACAGACCCATCCCCACAAAGATACCCACCCTGTGGCACTGGCACTGCCGACCCTGAGCATACTCCACCCCAAAACACTCTGGGGTGCCTGACCCCAACCCCAGCCCTCCTCATGCCTGTGGTCAGGCCTCCACTGGGCATGAGGGGAAGACAGCAATAGCCACTGGGCAGGGCCAGGAGAGGCGGGGCAGAGGCCTGGGAATCAGGAGGCAGGAGGGAGCCAGGAAAACCCACTCACAGGAGGCGGAGGCAGAGGCAGCAGGAGGCAGGACTGCAGAAGGGCCCCAGCCCTCAGCATACGCTCCACTGGCCCACTCGACTTCACTTAAAAAACACAAATTTAAAGATAGAATGATTAAGAATTTCAAGACACTAACCACAGAGCATTCAATTCTAAATGCAGAGCCCTTCAAGAGGCAAGGGTGTCACTGAGCACATGCCCTAGTTAAAGGCCATGAAACTGGCCCTGACAATGAGTTTCTGAATTTAAATGCAGGAAGTGGCCCTCTGTTCTGACCTGCTGGGCTCCATCCTGTGGGTACAACCTTCGAACATTCCTTGCTGGTCTCTTCCTGCAAATGCACTGGCCCTCAGAGCTCAAGTCCTGAGTGAGTTTGGTGCACATCTTATCATGGTCCTCATCTCATTCATAAACTTGACATCCAGAGAGGGAAAGTGGCTTCTCCAAGGGCTGGGCATGCACAGCTCCCACCACATTCTCGTGCCATGCTCTTCCCTCCAGCACCCGGCCCCTGCCCTACAGCCTTCTCCTGTCCAACCTGCTGATAGCAAGGCTCCAGCATACACTTCACAGGTGGCTCTTCCTGATCCAATACGGCAAAGGGGCCTTTAACTGAACTCCCCCCATGGAGCTCAATAGGTAATGTCACCCTTGGAGGGTGGCCTGCACCTTCATCCTTGCAGATCGAGGCCAGGGTCCCAATTAGGTGATCAAACTTCAGCCACATCTCTTGAATGATGCCAACTGGAAGGTGCCTTTAGTGTCCCACCAATAGGACTGCCTGCCTGGACCAGCTTGGCTTCCTGGGTGCATAACATGGTCTATACTCCAGTGCACTGGCCCAGCCTCTCTCTTTAGTGTGACACTCTGCCTGCCTGCCTGACCCCACAGCCTGTTCTACACAGGGGGACACTTCCATTGCCTTTGGGGGCTCCAGGATGCCGCCTGTCCTGCAGCGGGCTAGCTGCATGGATCTAGACTCCAGGCTGACTCTCAGCAGGGTCATGCTCTTAGCAGGAGGCTCAAGAAGATCAGGCTGGTGCTGGGCACCACGGTTCTGTGACACAGAGACACAGAAGGATGTGCACAGAAGTCCCTCAGATGGTGATAGCGCACCGGGCAGGAAGGGGTGATGCGCAGGAGGAGGTATGCTTGTGCCAGCGCAGAACAAAGATGTAGATAAAATTCTTTATGAGTGATCTCAGCTAGACTAAATCCCTAGATAAATTAGGATGTGGGGAGGAATGTGGCAGGGGATTAGTAGGTGGGGGTTGAATGACCCAGGTCACCTCTGAGAAACCAAACCCAAGTACAGAGCCTCCTCCAACTGTCAGCTCAGGAACCCTCTGAGACATAGGCTGCTCCCCAGAGTAGGTTCTTCCTATGCACGTGTGGTCCATGGGCCAGCTGCATCAGCATCACCTGGGAGCTTGGTGGAAATACAGACCCTGGGGCCCCACCCATGCCACCTCAAACAGAATCTGTGTTCTTGCAGTTTGTCCTGGGTGCTCTGTGTGCATCTTAAAATTGGAGAAGCAGCACTTTCAAGCAAAACAACATCAAGCCTACCCAACCCTGGACTAGGAGATCCTGAGATGTGATCCCCTCCCTCAAGAACTCCTAGTCCGGGGTTGAGTAGCCTTGATGTTGTTTTGCTCCAAAGCGCTGCTTTTAAGGTGCCTGGTTCTTTAAAAGTGCGTGATAAATTAAACCAATGAAGGAGCAATCATCCAAAAGCAGAAAGAATGCTAAAAGTCATGGTTGGGAGAGGCAACAATAACAAGAAATGGAGTCTAGTTCTCAGGCTGCAAACTGAGCTGCAAGCCAGGGCTGACTACCCATGGGCTGATTCTGGCTCACAGACATATTTTGTTTGGCTCATGCAATATTTTCAATGCACAGGATTTTACCCACTAAAAATATATAGATTTCTATAGGGTAAATTTGGGCCTGCTTCCTCCATATAAAGAATTGACAGGAGCTGGCAGGGCATGGTGGCTCACACCTATAATCCCAGGACTTTGGGAGGCCAAGGCGGGAGGATCACTTGAGGTCAGGAGTTCGAGACCAGCCTGACCAACATGGAGAAACCCCGTCTCTACTAAAAATACAAAATTAGCCAGGCACAGTGGCGCATGCCTGTAATCCCAGCTACTCGGGAGGCTGAGGCAGGAGAATGAACCCTGGAGGTGGAGGTTGTGATGAGCCGAGATTGTGCCATTGCACTCCAGCCTGGGCAGCAAGAGCAAAAGCTGCTTTTTCAGTTTATCTTACCTGCCTGATCTCTATGGGGTTAGAGTCTGTGTGTACTAGTGCACATAATAAACTCAAAAGCAAAGATGGCTAGAAAATGATGGTTATTATGTATTGGCTGACTTATTTGACACTCTTAATTATTTGTCCTGTGGGGTCATGGTTAAGGGTGAGGTGCTCAGTCTTACTGTCTGAGTTTCAATCACGGCTCAGCCTCTCCCCAGATCTGAGGTCCAGAGCGAGTCACAGAACCCTGTAAACTTCAGGCTCCTTATTTGAAAAATGGCCGTGACAAAAGTAGTTCCATGTAGGATGTTAAACGTGTTGCTTGGCACATGGTTAGTTATTGGTAAAGGCTATAAATTAGTTTAAATTAAAAAATTTATTATAAGTCAATGTATTTAAATTAATTTACAGCTATTTAACAATAGCTAATTAGCACAGCATTATAATTGCAGTACCAGAGAAAAACAACATGAAGGAATACAAGTATTTATTCCCTACATTGCTAAAATACCAACACTGATTATCAATATTTTCTATGGAAAGGTATTCAGAATGCCTAACATTTTAAAATTCAGCTAAAATATTAGACATTTCAAATAAAAAGTAAATATTAGAAGCATTAAGTGAAAACAAAAATCTGTGAAATATAAATGTTAAAAATGTTGGCCGGGCGTGGTGGCTCACGCCTGTAATCCCAGCACTTTGGGAGGCCGAGGCGGGCGGATCACGAGGTCAGGAGATCGAGACCATCCCGGCTAAAACGGTGAAACCCCGTCTCTACTAAAAATACAAAAAATTAGCCGGGCGTAGTGGCGGGCGCCTGTAGTCCCAGCTACTTGGGAGGCTGAGGCAGGAGAATGGCGTGAACCCGGGAGGCGGAGCTTGCAGTGAGCCGAGATCGCGCCACTGCACTCCAGCCTGGGCGACAGAGCGAGACTCCGTCTCAAAAAAAAAAAAAAAAAATGTTACCCTTCTCATACTAATTGTTAGCAGATGACATGAATAAAATATTATTCAAAAGTAATGAACTAAACCCTACAAGATAAAGAAACTTCTAATAATATTTGGAATGAAAATCTACTATTTGATGTTATCTGGATCATGAGCATATTTTTGTGCCCATTTTTTCCGGCTGCTGAAACCTTTTGTTTACTCTAGGCTGGTCAAGGCAATGGTGAGACGTTCCAAGCTAAATTTCAAACTAATTTCCAATATTATCCTTTGAGTTTTTCATCTTCAAGTAATTCCATTTCTTCTTCCCCACTTTAGAAGATATCTTTTATTTTAACCTCCCTTCTTTTTTGTTGGCAGGAACTACATTTTTTTATTTGATCATGAGCTTTAGTTTTATTTCAGAGAAAGCATTCCTGGTTTGTGGTCATCTTCTCCAGTGTTAATATGGGTAGGTGGAGATGCCAGTGTGTCACCTGGAGCAAATTCCAGGCTGGAAAGTCTCTGAAGCAGAGTGAAGATTTCTATCATGATGGAGGCAGCGTAGTTCCCCTCCTTCTGGGTTGTGGAAGAATAGAAAACTGCTTTCTAAACAAGCTTTCCTTTACTGGATCCAAACGCCTACTGTAGTGCATTCCCAGGTGTAAATGGTTCTAATTTTTAAAAAACATGTCACAAAAATACTAATAGTTCAGCATTTCTCAAAAGCACATTATTCTGGAATACCAGAATCCCAAAAACTGGAATTACAATTACTGAAAAACACCAGGTCTGGAGAGTCTTCTGCTAGTCCGTTGCCTTCGTGGGTTCCAAGAACATAGCTCTCCCTGATGCTTTTCTGTTGACTTGAGATTGAGGGGACAGAGTTTGGGAGGCCAAGGTTAGGAAAGAAGGGAAGTTGTTGTCTTGAGTTGAATAGTGTCCCCCAGAATTCATGCAGATGCAATGAGCTAAGAGGAGGTAATCCTGAATTAGAGCGGCCCCAAATCCAATGGTTGGTGTCCTTAGAAGCAGAGGAGAGGACAGACAGGATGCACAGAGACACAGAGGGAGGAAGGTCATGTGAAGACAGAAGCAGAAGCTGGGGGATGGGTCTACAAGCCAAGGGTTTCTAGGGAACCTGGAAGTCACCAGCAGCTGGAAGAGGCAAGGAAGGATTCCTCCCTCAAGCCTTTAGAGCTCCACCGCGATCCTGGACTTCTGGCCTCCAGAACTCTAACCAAAGAAGTTTCTGTTGTTTTAAGCCACCCAGTTTGTGGGAGTTAGTTATGGCATCCCTATGGAAAACTCATACCATTGTGGCATTGGGAGTGACACTGCCAGGGCCACTGGCCCTCCGCAGCAGGGCCCATGCTCACTAGTCTTGGAATCCAGTCCACACTCTCAGGGGCCGGAAGACCAAGCTCCTGTTCCTGCTGTCCACTCCTGGCGGGTCTCCCATCTTCCTGCACCCCCTCTCTGCCTAGCACCTCCATCCATGCAGCATGCTGCTCCAGCCATGCTGTATCATTTACTTGGCCCGAGGCACTGCCCCTGGGACTTCCGGTGCCGCTCCCGGAGGCCTGCGGTCAGGTGGGAAGAACAGAGCTGCAGGCATCCAAGAGACCGAGGAGAGGACCTGCTGCTTCCCCCCTGTGTGCGCCACCTTGAAAAGTCACCTCATCTTCCTGAGTTTCACTGGATGGTGACAGTAATGACCTTTGCAGGCCCTTGGCAGACATTTTGGAATACAGCAGTGCCTGGCACACAGCAGATGCTCAATAAACATGAGAACCTCCCGTCAAGTCAGCATAGGAAAGACTGAGAATTCCAGCATCCTGGAGAACCAGGCCTCCCCTGATGGGCTTGGGGGCAGAGCTGGAGCATGTGGGGACAGGAGCAACACACCCATAGTGAGGCTGGAGAGGGATGTGAGCCACTTATCCTCATCACATGTACACAGCCCGAGGATGAGGAGAGGGCTCCAGGAAGGGGCTCTGGTCCACAGTCTTCCATGTCTGGCACAGAGCAGGGCTCCACAAATCCTGGTGGCAGGAATAACGCTGGAGAAGCAGAGGACCCTCTGGCTGATGCACCAGAGCAGAGCTGCAAGACCAGCCACCCCGCAAGGGCTGCCCTGAAGGAATGTGGAAACCAGAAGGATTTCTTTCTTTTCATTTTTTAAAAATTAAGAGAAGCTAACCTTCTTTGTCCTGTGAAGGGTCACTTAAGTGGCCCTCTTAGATATGCAAATGCAAGGCTAGAAAGCAGCCGGCCTCCTGGGATTCCTGTATAACAGGAATTTTTGCAGCCCTTGGTGATGGGGTTTTTTTTTTATTGAGTGGCCTGGCAAAGATTGTGCCCTTCTTTGGCCTGCAGAAGAGGGGTGATTGGTTGAGAGAGCTTGGGGAGGAAAAGAAATTTGTGGACTAATTTGCACAAAGAGCCCAGGTTTTCTGAAAGGAATGAGACAAATACACCAACACAGTGTTTTCACACTTTTTTGACAAGAAATAGACATTACATTGCCCCCTGGGAGCCCAGGGCAACAGAAGCTGAGGCTTCAGGAAACACCGCTGTTCCTACATGCAGTGCCTTCTGGCATGTTCTGTCCTATGTGAGTCTATCTCCTTCTTAAAAATTCCAGACAAAGCCCACAGAATTGATTTCATGACCCCTCTAATGAACTGGTGTCCATAGTCTGAAAAATGTTTTTTGAGGTTTGGTTTACAGGAGGTCTGTTGGGTGGATTGAGGCCTGGCTGTAGGAAGTGGGGAAACAGAGGCACTGGAGGTTGAGTGAGCCAACTTGGTACTGAGTAACTAGCAGGTGGGGGGACAGTGGTCTTCTGAGCTATGCAACAGTAGAGCTGGGTCTGACCTGGCCATCTGAGGCCAACTCAGCCCGGAAAATAGTGGCGAGGGCACAAGAGCTTGCAAACTTTGTCCTCTAGCATGAAGGTCCCCTGCCTGATCCTGCAGAGACTTGGCAGCCCTTTCCTTCCCCTGCTGGCAGCTCCACAGGCTCAACCCCCTATTTCTATACAGCTGTCCTCTCATTGGCAACACCAAGGCCAGCTTGGAAGATACCACCCTGTGCCCATCATCCTGGGGCAACCCAGTGCCCTCGTCTGGCAGAGACCTCCCCCTCAAGACTGAGCAGAGTGTGGAGGTATTCTCAGAAGGCAGAACACCCTCGAAGAATTGCAGTTTCTGCAGCAAAACCCCGAGGAACAAGGGACCTTCCCCACCCCAACATCTATCTATGCTTTGAACAGGACCCAGGCCAGCCTCTGCCGGGCCCCATCCTGCGCCTTTCTCCTTCCACAGCTAGGTGGCCACAGCAAGCGCCCATGCTCCCCTTTCCTCAGGGCAGAAACTCTCCCAATTCCCGCCCCTCCACCTGTGAGCACACCTGGCCACAGCTCCACTGAGAAAGGGAAGGGTGTCGGGCATTTGCCATGTGCCATTCTCTTTTTTTCATATCACAGCCAATGCTGACAACCCTCAGGGCCTTCTACCCCATTCGTTGTCCACATGAACTGAGAGTCTTTCAAGATGGTAGAAGTTGGAATTCAATTCAGATAGCTTTGGCGTCAGTTTCAGTCAAAGCAGTGTGGTGGCAACGCACCAGCTTGGGTGCCAAAAGTTCTGACTGTCCCTTACAGCACCTCACCCCTCTGGACCGGTGTGGCAGCCAAAGCCTCTGCTTCTCTTGCAGCTGCAAAGATTGACTCCGCCTCCCATCCTCCCTGCAGTAAGACAGGGTCACATGACTAAACCCTGGTCAAGGAAACACAGGTAGGAGTGACAGGTGACCTCTGAGGCTTCTGAGGCTGCTGTCAGCACCAGCTCCTAAAATCCCTTGAGAAACTCCCTGCCCCCTCTCCCTGCATCTCACAGCAGAGGATTCAGAGGAGGACACTGAGGTCCTAGAAGGAGCCTGGGTCCCTGAGTGACCACATGGAGCAGCCCCACTCCCTCTTCCCTTTTCATGCTGACCTGCAGGAGCCAGTGACCTGAGCAAGAAGAGTCTTTAGGGGATTAAGCCACTGAGATTTGGGAGCTGTTAGAGCAGCAAGCATGAATTACCTGATTGATGTGCCCGGTTTCCTTATCTGTAAAAGGAGGTTATCAACATCATTCTCAGGGTTGTTGTGTCAATGACTTATGATTCAGTGAAAACACAAACCCAGGATCTGACACATTCTAGGTAACTGAGGTCCCTCCTTACAGTGTCAGCAGCAGCCACAGCAGCAACAGTGCAAGGAGCACTAGTTAACTCCCAGTGTGCACAGTACTATGCCCCAGCTAAGTGGACCAGACACCAGATGGGCCTAGTTCATATACAGGGTCTCATGTTCTATAGCATGGGGGTGCTGGGAGCCTTAAAAGGTGTGCAGGACTGACTGCAAATGCTTTGTAAAATGAATTTTTCCTATAACTGCAGACCATTAAGGTGATATCTGTAAATAGAATGCTAAGCTGAGGGGTCACACATAGTAAAAGTGAGAAGTAAGAAAGTAAGGATCACCCTGGAGGCAGACACCTCAGTTCTAATTCTGACTTTTCCGCTTACTATTTGGAACCCACATAAATCACTTAACCACTTCAAGCCTTAGTTTCCCCATCTGTAAAATGGAGATTATGATAGGGTTCTTGCAGGGATTAATGAGTTAATTTATGCAGAATGCTCAGAACAGTGCTTGGCATACAGTAAGTGGCGTGTATGCCACTAAGTGATTCCTGCTCAGGTAACCGAGACCGCCTCCCACCCTGAGTGCATGGTAGGGTCTGATGTCATCACAGCTGCTGGGAAGTACCTGTCCCCTTTGGGAGCTTCTGCTGTGTTTGTCCATATGGCAAGGACAGAGAGCCCTCTTGGCCCCATGGCCTCCTGCTCTTTCCCATGCTGCATTTCTCCTGGGGGTGGGGGAGGAAAGAAAGTTGGAAAGAGCAGGTGGGGGCAGGGTGGGGGTGAGGCTTCAGGGAAAGGACAATGGGCTTTGTAAATCCCTCCCTGGGCAGGCTGGCCAAGTTCAATGGCTTCAGGCCACATGAACAGCAAGAAAAATGTGGCCCAGGAATTTCTCCCCAACGATTCCCCTTGTCTTTCTCTGTGGGAATTTGGAGCTGCAGACACATTCCTTCCATGAACAGCATCCGTGGCAGCTGAAGGCCCATTGGCCCGAGCTGGGGAACCTGGCTGGCCGGCACTTCTAGAGCTCTGCCCCTACTGCCTCCCCCTCCAAGGAGTGGGCACTGCCAGTGTGCCAGAGAATGCACTCTCACTGGCAGACCTCACAGCTTGCTCTGTCAGGGACTGACCCCTCCTGGGCACGGCCCTCTCCTCTCCTGAACCAAACTGCCCAGACAGCTTTCACAGCTGCTTTTCCACAATCTGTCACCTGGAAGTGGAGACTAGACATCTTGGAGAGAATTCCCATCCATTCCTTTTTTTTCTAAGCCAAGTACTTCCCGACTTAAGAGGAAATTACTTCCCAGATGCTCTAAAATTCTTTTAAAACACTGTAAAGTACAGTCCACAGGCCAGATCTGGCTTGCCACCTGCTATTGTACATAAAGTTTTATTGGAACACAACCACACTCATTCATTTACGTAGTGTCGATGGTTGATTTCACACCACAATGGTGGAGCTGAGTAGTTGCTAAAGAGACTGTATGGCCCTCAAAGCTTAAATATGTTTACTATCTGCCCCTTAGAGAAAGTTTACTGACTTCTGGTTTACTCCTTTGTTATTCCACACAGGATTTGAAATGGCCTCTATTGAGAAGACTTAGAATAAAATAGTGATACCACAATAGTTCAAAATAATTGAGAGCCTGAGAAAATGCAAATAAAAGTAGCAACTCAAAATCATGAACCACAACACAAATATGAAGACTGTTAGGACCTACATATTTGCCAAAGCCAGGCTTTAAATTTTTCTTGAGCTTCCTGGAAGCCAAAGGAAAAAGAGAAATGAGACAAGTCTCATCAACAGAAAGAAAAAAGAATACCAGTCCTTATGGGATCTAGAGCTTTTTCTCTAGAAAAAGATGTATGGGGCTTGCTTCAAACAGAAAAAGAGTAATACCCACCTTCCCCAGAATCATATACTTAGTTAAAAAAAAAAAAAAAAACAACAGAACAATGAGTCTGCAAAATGAATAGCAACAGCAATGCTGTTGATGAGGGTCAGTACGGGGACAGGGGTTCTTGTTAATATGTCTGGCCAGAGATTGAACTAGATATCAGAAGGCAAAGCAGTTGGCTTCCATGCACTGTGCTAAAAGTGCATAAAACATTTTGAGAGGGTGTAAGAAGCCTCATTTCTGCTTATCACTTCTGTATATCTATTTGTTTCAGAGCAAAAACTGGAGTTCAATAAGGACAGGCCCAACTTGTCACTAACTCACCTTACAGTGCCTGGCGCAAAGTAGGCCCTCAAGAGATTGCTCGTGAACATATACACCATGGAATACTATGCAGCCATAAAAAAGGATAAGTTCATGTCCTTTGTAGGGACATGGATGAAGCTGGAAACCATCATTCTCAGCAAACTATCACAAGGACAAAAAAACCAAACACTGCATGTTCTCACTCATAGGTGGGAATTGAACAAAGAGAACACTTGGACACAGGAAGGGGAACATCACACACTGGGGCCTGTCATGGGGTGGGGGGTTGGGGGAGGGATAGCATTAGGAGATATACCTAATGTAAATGAAGAGTTAATGGGTGCAGCACACCAACATGACACATGTATACATACGTAACAAACCTGCATGTTGTGCACATGTACCCTAGAACTTAAAGTATAATAAAAAAAGAAAAAAAATTGCTTGTGAAAAATGAGGAGGTTGTGTTAAAAGAGAACCTTCCAATTCCAATGTCTGTGGGTCTGTGTTATGTGGACATACAGTGTGTGTGCACACTGAATTTTAGCCAAACTCCTAATATAGATCAGAAATATGATGGGAGAAGGGGGTGGGGGCAGGGACGCAGGCCCAGATGAGACCCTCACCACCAAGAGGCAGAAGTCAGTGAGTGGTTGTTAAGAAGGTGACCAGCAGTGTTCAGACTGCCCAGATTGGAGGACAGGCTCTACCCTCTACCCACCAGCTGTGTGATCTTGAGAGCTCGCATAACCTGGGCGGGTGTCCATATCCTCACCTGTAGATTGGATCTGATGACATATCACCCTTACAGGCTATTGTGAAAATTAAACAAAATAATGCCCGTGAGTTACTAGTGCCAATCAAAGGTATGTTTTGTGATAAGCTGTCTACAAAGTGTCTACATCACGCCCTTCTTCAACAAGCTCCCTCTACCAGAGGCCAGGGCTGGCAGGAGACAGACATTATTCTGAAAAGCTAGGAGCAATAACCCGCGGTCTCAATCCAGCACTCCACAGGGCTTGTCTTTTTTAACTGGAAGTCTCAACTACAGTTATGTGTGCCTTTGTCCCACAGGCCATCTTATTCACCATCGAGTCCCATTCCTTTTCCCCAAAAAACATTTATCATAGAATTGTTAAGATCACAGGCTAGAAAGCAAGATGGGCTGGGTTCCAATCTGAGCTTAACCACTAATTAGCTGTTGTGACCTTGTGCAAATGACTTCACTTCTCTGTACTTCGGTGCCCTCACTTCTCTGTACTTCGGTGCCCTCCTCTTGCAAGTGGAAATAATGATGACATCGAATGCATAGGATTGCTCTGAATTCTAAGTGAACGTGCACATGTCAAGCTCTTAGCCTGGCACATTGTCAGGGCCAGGCAGTGCTAGCCATAAGGATTTTGCATCACTTCCTATGTTTCAGCTATCTGTAACTGCCTAACAGACTACTCCAAAGTTTAATGACTTAAAACAACACATATTTTCCTTTTTTAAAAAAATGTATTTCAATAGGTTTTGGGGGAACATGTGGTGTTTATTACATGAATAAGTCCTTTAGTGGTGATTTCTGAGATTTTGGTGCACCCATCACCTCAGCAGTGCAAATTGTACCCAATGTGTAGTCTTTTATCCCTCAGCCTCCTGCCACCCTTTCCCCCAATTCCCCAAAGTCCATTGTATCATTCTTATGCCTTTGCATCCCATAACTTAGCTCCCAATTATGAGTGAGAACATACGATGTTTGCTTTTCCATTCCTGAGTTACTTCACTTAGAATAATGGTCTCCAGTCCCATCTAAGTTGCTGCAAATGCCATTATTTCGTTCCTTTTTGTGGCTAAGAAGTATTCCATGGTATTTATATACTACATTTTCTTTATCCACTCTTTGATTTATGGGAATTTGGGCTGGTTCTATATTTTTGTAATAGCGAATTGCGCTGCTATAAACATGCGTGTGCAAGTATCTTTTTCATATAATGACTTACTTTCCTCTGGGTAGATAGCCAGTAGTGGGATTGTTGAATCAAATGGTAGTTTTACTTTTAGTTCTTTAAGGAATCCCCACACTGTTTTCCATAGTGGTTTTGTATTAGTTTCCATTCCCACCAGCAGTGTAGAGGTGTTTGCTTTTCACCACATCCACGCCAACATCTATTTTATTTTTATTTTTTTATTATGGCCATTCTTGTGAGAGTAAGGTGGTATCGCGTTGTGGTTTTGATTTGCATTTCCCTGATCATTAGTGATGTTGAGCATTTTTCTATATGCTTGTTGGCCATTTGTATATCTTCTTTTGAGAATTGTTTGTTCGTGTCCTTAGCCCATTTTTTGATGGGATTGTTTGTTTTCTTCTTGTTGATTTGTTTGAGTTCTTTTTAGATTCTGGATGTTAGTCCTTTGTCAGATGTAAAGATCACAAAGATTTTCTCCCACTCTGTGGGTTGTCTGTTTGCTCTGCTGATTGTTTCTTTTGCTATACAGAAGCATTTTAGTTTAATTAAGTCCCATCTATTTATCTTTGTTTTTGTTGCATTTGCTTTTGGGTTTTTGGTCATGAAGTCTTTGCCTAAGCCAATGTCTAAAAGGGTTTTTCCAATGTTATCTTCTAGAATTTTTACAGTTTCAGGTCTTAGGTTTAAGTCTTTGATCCATCTTGAGTTGATTTTTTTTTTTTTTTTTTTTTTTTTGCAATGGAGTCTCACTCTGCCTCCCAGGTTGGAGTGCAGTGGTGCAATCTTGGCTCACTGAAACCTCCGCCTCCTGGGTTCAAGCAATTCTCCTGCCTCAGCCTCCCAAGTAGCTGGGAATACAGATGACCACCACCATGCCTGGCTAATTTTTGTATATTTAGTAGAGATGCGGTTTCACCATGTTAGCAAAGCTGGTCTCGAACTCTTGACCTCAGATGATCTGCCCACGTTGGCCTCCCAAAGTGCTGGGATTACAGGCGTGAGCCACCGCGCCCAGCCAAGTTGATTTTTATATAAGTTGAGAGATGAGGATCCAGTTTCATTCTTCTATGTGTGGCTTACCAATTATCACAGCACCATTTGTTGAATAGGGTGTTCTTTCCCTACTTTTATGTTTTGTTTGTTTTGTTGAAGATCAATTGACTGTAAGTATTTGGCTTTATTTTTGGGTTCTCTATTCTGTTCCAATCGTCTATATGCCTATTTTTATACCAGTACCATGCTAAAAACAAAACACATTTTATTTGCTCACTGTTCTGCAGTGTGGCCATGGCTTGGTGGGGACAGCTTCTCTCTGCTCCACATGGTATCACTTGGAGAATCCACTTCCAGGACAGCCTCACTCACACAGCTGGAAGTCAGTGTGGTTGCTGGCTTGGACCTCAGTTCTCCATTTGGCCTCTCCACATTGCTAGGTTGGGGTTCTTGCAGCACAACAGTCTCAGGACAATTCCACTGTTTACAAGGGGGTGCTTTCCCTGACGACAGGGAAAAGCAGAAGCTGCCAAGTTTTCTTAGGACTTAGACCCAGAATTGGTCCAGAGTCACTTCTGCTACCTTCTGTCAATTAAAGCAGCTCATAGGGCAGCCTAGATTCGAGGGAGGGGATTACATAAGATGCAAGAACTGGAAGGTGTGGTTAGCTGGGGCCCCTGAGCTAACACATTGCCCTGCCTGGTCTCCAACTCCTCCAACCTGTGTTCGGCCCACATCTCTCACCTGGCTTATGCCTTTTGCATCTTTGCTTTTTCTCTGCTCCAGTCTCCCCCTTCCAGTCCCTATCTCGCTCTAGCCACCAGGCTAGCCAGTCAGAATCACAGGCTGCATCATGTCTTCTACCCTAAATGCCATGTTGTGACTCCCCTGACCCAAGTAAAGAGCAAGTTCTTAATGGGATACTACTGCACCCATTGGAGGACTGTGTTAGTCCATGCAAATTGCTATAAAGGAATACCTGAGACTGGGTCATTTATAAGGAAAAGAGGTTTATTTTGGCTCAAAGTTCTGCGGGCTGTACAAGCATAGCACTAACATCTGCTTGGCTTCTGGGGAGGCCTCAGGAAGTTTACAATCATGGCAGAAGGCAAATGGGAGCATATGTGTCCCATGGCAAGAAAGTAACAGACAGAGAGAGAGAGAGAGAAAAAGGAGGAGATCTCATACTCTTTTAAACAACCAGCCCTCATGTGAACTACCAGAGTGAGAACTCACTTATTGCCACAGGGATGGCACCAGGCCATTCATAAAGAATCAGCCCCATGACCCAAATACCTCCCACTAGGCCCACCTCCAACACTGGAGGTCATACTTCAACATGAGACTTGGAGGGGACACACGTCTACACCATATCAGGGACCATTCCTGTGCTGTCCCCTAAGGTGCTGGACCCCTCCTTGCAGCTCAGGTCCCACCTCAAAGCATTCTCCTCTGCAGAGTTTTCTTTACCACCCTCGGCAGACTGGCTTTCTGTCCCCTACAGCTCCCGGGGCAACCTCCTATCCCCCGCCCCACATTGGGCCTTGTGTCAGGCATTGAGCTGTGTTCAGTCATCATTTGTACATGAGTGAAGGAAAGAATGATCATTATAGGCTCCCTAAGCTATGCTTGTGGCTAAGATGGTACATTCCCATTTATTCCCTTCCTCTGAGCTACCCAGGGCTGAGCTCACACCTGAGATAGTGCTGTGAGGGTGCCTTGGATATTCTGGGGAGGAGCAATCCAGACTCCTGCATTGGAACTATGGAGGGCAGGTCCTGAGTCTCCTAAGAAAATCCTTGAATGACCTGGGGCATATCTGGGACCAGGGGCTCAGGCTGCACAGGCTTCAGGATCCCAGCAGCAGCAGCACCCCCTAGAAACAGCTTGACATTCTCACCACCCAACTGTGGGTCTCCCAGAGAAATGGAGTAAAGTGGCAGGAAGTAGAGCTCTGGATGAATGGGGCAGCCTCTATCCCATAGAAACTTTGTCCTCAAAGCTGGTGTCCAGCCTCCTCCCAGAGCCCATTGTGCCCACTGGATATCCACCCCCTGGTTCTATCTCTTCTGCCCTGTGCCTGGTGGTGGGCTGGAGGCTGGCCTTCCTGCTGGGAAACATGTCCTAGAGGCTCCCACCTCTGGCCCTTCTTCTGGAGCAAGGCGGCTTGAGCACAGCTAGAGCCTTGCAGCATATGTGATCCTGATGTTTTGGCTAAATTCTAGTTAGTTTGGGGTCATCATCAATTTGGGTGGCAGAGCTATGTTCAGAAAATTTGATTTTTCAGACAAATTCTATGCTAAGTGGGTGCTTTGCCAGTCGCAGCCCATGACTTTAGGCCTAACTAGGGAAAACTACCCATTCTTCTGTTTATTTAACCATTAAACCATCCATCATCCTTCCTTCTGTTCACCTATGGAACACATCCATTCAACCATCCCTCCACCCATCCATCATTCTGTTGACCTATCCACACCTCCATCCAACCAACCATCCATCCACCCATCCATCCATCTATTCACCTATCCACACCTCCATGCAACCATCCATCCACCCATCCATTCATCTATTCATCTATCCACACCTACATCCAATCAACGATCCATCCACCCATCCATTCATGTATTCACCCATCCACACCTCCATTCAACCAACCATCCACCCATCCATCCATCTATTCACCTACCTACACCTCCATCCAAACATCCATTACTCCATCCATCCATCCTTCCACCCATCCATCCATCCATTTACCCATCCATCTGCCCATCCATCCATCCATGCACCCATCCATTCATCCACCCATCCATCTTGGCTCTGCCACTTACTACCTCATTGGTCTTGGGCAAGTCTCTTCACCTTTCTGAACATTAGTTTCTTCCTTTGTAAATTGAATCTCATGGCATCTGCTTCATGCGGTTGTCCTGTGGTTAACTGAGATAACCTTTGTGAGTTGCCTGGCACATGGTGGGAAACACATAGTGAATGTTATTTTCCTTCCCCCTTGAGGAAGGACACACAACTAAAAAACTATAAAAAGACAATGTGTAATTAGGAATTAAAGTGTGTGAAACCAAAGGCAATAAAACAAGAAGCCCCTGCCTTCCTATTTGTCTGCTGAACTGCCTTGGGAGTTGATATTTAAAGCCGCTTTGAAAAGTCGAGTATCCCAAAATATATTTAAACGGTTCAATGGGGACGTTGACCCTTTATAATAGGCTCATTTGAAACGATCCTGCTTTGCTACTTCCTCTCAGAAAGATAAACAAGCGGCCCACAATGGCCGCTGTGATGTTTTCTTTTAAATCTTGCTTTCCAAATGTAGGACTTGGCCGTTGGACAATCACCCGAGGGGCTCACTCCCCGCAGATGCTCTCCCTGAATGCAGGGAGCTCTAGCTTGGAATTCCTGGGGCCTCATTAAGCCCGCTGTGACTAAGTGATCTTGCCTGGTGCTAAAACTGTTTAAAATGACTTGGCAGCAACCAGAAGTCAGGTCTCTCTGTTTTTTCTCAGTTACTCTCTCTTTGTAACCCCCACCTATGTGTCATGAAGTGAAAACATCTTTCTTTCCGGATCTAACGCAGGAAAACCCTTCTCTCTCCCCGAAGCCTCACCCTGGTCTTTCTGAGGAGTTAAAGGAGAGGGAGGGAGGCAGAAATCTGCCCTGCTCTTGTTAATCTCTCCTTTGAATGAAGACTTAACTCCTGGGAAAACCTCTTCCCTGCTCTAAGTCATTCTTTCCTGCCCCCACATTTATTTAACTCTTCTGCTCCGTGCCTTGGGCAGCCTCTGCTTTCCAGCCTGCCCTTGCTGAGATTCTCCTCTGAGACCACCTCTGTTCTCCCCAAATGGAATTGTGGTAGGGAGGGAGGGAGAAAATTCCAGTCAAGTCAAGGCCATCAGAGCTGGACCACAGCCCTGCTTCAGGGTTAGGAACAGATCCTAGGAACTGGGGGGTGACAAAGAACCTTACATGAAGAAGCCTACTCTGTGCCAAACACCTAAAAATATAATTATCTCAATCAAAGTAAATTGATTATTTACTTTAATTACACAATAATACCTGATTATGCTTTCCTTTTACAGAATGAGGCCATTATAAAAAAGCCAAAGTCTCTTGACACCCACTTTACTCCATTCTTCTTCCACCATCTCCCCAAAGGGAACCACTCTTGGTTTCCTGTTTTCCTCCCATATATTTTTCTAAGCCCAAGGGCCTAGAACAGAGCATGGTACAGAGTGAACACTATAGTAATATTTTGTGAGTATGGGTATGTGTCTTACATAAGTGCCATGAATCCGTAAATCTCAAACATTCAGCCATAGCACTCTCCTTTTATATCATATACCATCTTATGAAAATTCCAGTGTACTTGATAATTCTTTCATTTGTTTGTTTGTTTTGAGACAGAATCTCGCTCTGTCACCCAGGCTGGAGTGCAGTGGCCGAATCTCGGCTCACTGCAACCTCTGTCTCCCGAGTTCAAGTGATTATCATGCCTCAGCCTCCCAAGTAGCTGCAATTACAGGTGTGCGCTACCATGCATGGCTAATTTTTGTATTTTTAGTAGAGAAGGGGTTTTGCCATGTTGCCCAGGCAGGTCTCAAACTCCTGGGCTCAAGTGATCCACCTACTTTGGCCTCCTAAAGTACTGGGATTGCAAGCACGAGCCACCATGCCCGGCCGATGATTCTTTTACTGATGAACATTTTGGTGGTTCCAACTTTTTGCAATCACAAGCAAGGCTGCCATGAATAGCCTTCCATAGACTTTCCTGGGCATGTGGGGACACATTTCCATGGGGTGCATACTAAGAAATGAGCTTGCTCCCAAGGCAGCAGCATTTTTAGTTTTAATAAAGCAGCTTCCATGTTACCTTCCAAGGTGATTGCACCGAACACACTCTCATGAAAAAGTGCCCAAATCCTCTCCAAGACTTGATGATGATGATAGCTCACACTTGCAAAACACTTACCTACAGGCCACTTGGGTTCTAAGTCCTTGTATATATCAACTCATTTAATTGACACAACCATCCGGTGAAGCAGTTTCTGTTATCTTCTCTGTTTTATAGGTGGGGAAACTGGGCACAGAGAGAGTTTGAATAACTTAATTCTTAATTTGTGCTAAGTAGCATCTGAACCGGTATCATTTTCCTCACTTTTCAGGTGAGGAAACAGTCTCAGAGGGGAGATGACTTATCCAAAGTCACACAGCTCATAAGTAGCCCGCCAGGTTTGAGGGTAGCCTGGGCAAACACTCCCTCTTCCTACTACTGCACAGTACAGGTGAGCTGGGAAACTGAGAGCTCGGTGGTCCTGAACACCCCCGACAAAGTCACCCTTGAGATGACTGCCCAGAGGATGCTGGTGGGGTTGGGGGCGTCTCCCTTGCACAGCGAGGGCGCCCCTTCTTCCCATTCTGCGCGGGGAGGCCAGGCCGGTGTGGCCCCCCACCCCTGCTTGGCTCCCAGGGAGGCGGAGGCAGCCCCGGCTCCGTGGCGCCCCCTGGCGGCTCCTGGGAGAGCGCGCGGCCCGGCACCCCGGGAGAGTAACGGGCCGTGGGGAGGGCGCCGGCGAGGGCAGGGAGCAGCGCGGGGCCGCCCCGGCGCGCGGAGATAAAAGCGGGCAGTGGCGCGGCGGTCGCGATCTGCGCGTTCTCCTATTGATTAGCAGGGTCTGCCCGGAGGCCGGCATGCCCGCTGCGCGGGGCCGCGGTGGAGTGTGAGGGCCCGGGAGCCGCGGGCCGGCGGTCCCGCGCACCCTGCGCCCAGCTGGGCACTGCCCGTGGGCCGGACCTCGGCCGCGCCGCCCCGGGGCGCAGGCGGCAGGCGGGGAGAGGAGCCGAGCGGCGGGGCCGCGGGCGGCTGCCATGGGGCTGTGCTGCTGCAAGGACTGGAGGGGACACCTGCGAGCGCCCAAAGGTAACTCCGGCGCGCACGTGCGCCCCGCTCCCTGCGGCCGCCGCCAGAGGCTGCCAGCCCCGCCTCGGGGACTCGCCACGGGGTGTCCAGGGCCGCCCGCACCTGCCTCAGCTTTGGAAAGGGCTCAGGTGCGGCTGCTGCTCCTCTGAGTCTCCTAACTTTGGAAGGGGAGGCTCCCCTTCACTCGGGGCGCGGGGGCGCATCCTGGGGCTCCTCGGTCCCCATGTGGGAGTGGGGGTGGGGTCCGGCCCCTGGGCGGGAGTGGGTAGAGCGGAGGGGAGGGTCCGCCCTCCAGGGCCCGGGGCTGGCCGCGGCGCCGGCTGCAGGTCCGCCAAGTCCACGGCCGGGACGGAGGAACCCCCGGCGCCCAGACCCGCTCGCAGGTCTCTGCACCGCGAGCCCGGCGCGCGCCCTGCGCCGCCCCTGCGGCTTAACTGCCGGGAGAGGGACCATTCATTCTCGCCCGCCTCTGTCACAAACTTGGACGGTGGGGCCCTGACTCAGAGTTTTCCAAAACTCGCGGCGGAACCTGCGAGCAGAGCTGCTTGAGGAATGCAGCAGTCTTGGAGAGGGCCCAAAGCCCAGAAACACGCTTAGGACGTTGGCGGCCGCCGGAGGTCCGGCCTCCCGGGGGCTGGGGCCCGGCCGACTTAACCCTTGACTGACTGAAATGATCCCTGTTGATCGTTGGGAACATAGTGGTGCATCCCTTTACTGCAGCGCTCCCTAAACTCACCTGACCCTAACACTCACCTGCCGCGCTTATTAAGCATGCAGATTCCCAGGCCCCACCCTGGCCTGCTGGATAGGCTCTGGGGAAGGCCTTGGGAAACTGTGTGTTTAAGGAGTTCCCCAAGTGACTCCTATGGCCAGGTGAGTCTGGGAAGCCTTGCCTGTAAACCATATAGGGTAAGGCAGGCTCTGCCAGAATGAGCACTAGGTCTTCCTTCCTCCGAAAAGTGTATTCTGCATCCAGATACAGAAAAGGTCAGGCAGCCTTCGACCTTGTCCAGGTGAGAATGGTGCCATCAATGTACAGGCTGGTTTCACAAAGGGTTTGAAGTAGCTTATAACATATATAATACTTAACTATTTAAAAACCTAAACAGGACCCCACATTTACACAGGACGTAGAGAGGTCAAGGGAAAATGGAGCCCAGTTAATCTGGCTATGAGGTATGATCTGTGGTTGAGCCTCTTTGCAACCAAAACCAAGTGAAAAATGTGAGTGCTGTAGTTGCAAGGTTCTCATTGTCCCAGAGCAACAGTTTCCTCAGCTTCTGATTGTAGAAAGAATGAAAAAGAATTTTGCACATGAGGCTTCATTCTTGGAAGCAGGGGCCGAGAGCCCTGTGTGTGGTGTCTTCACTATGACAATAGCTAGGGCTGCAGTAGGGTTTAGAGGGCAAGGTCTTGCTGCATGCTCCCCGAGGGCAGGTCAGAGCCCAGGATTTCACCCCCGCCAGGGCCTGGACGAGCAGCTTTAGTCTCTCCTGACCCCTCTTCAGTAAACATGGTAAAGAGTGTCCCAAAAGCAAGGGTGGATTTACAAAGTCTTGGTTAGAGAGGACATAGACTCATTAAGCAGCCTCAGAAGAGAGCCAGGGGCACCTCCTCTTGCTTAGGTCTGTCCTCTGGGGCTGTGGACCCCCAAGGCCAGCTGCTGGCTTCACCAGTCCAGGTAAGGAAAAAGCCTGGTCTGGGAGTGTTCCCCAGCTGGGCCCTACCCTCCCACCTACCCGAGAGATGGCTGGCCACAGCAGCCTGGGAGTAGGCACTGAGTCTGAAGTGCCTACAAGGTTCTGCAGCCCATGGAAGTTAGCCAAGCTGGCCAAGTGGGTGGGGAGCGCTGTGGTGCCAGAGTGGATGACCAGCCACTGTCTGGCAGGGAGGAGAGAACCCATGCAATTGTTGGAGAGTCTGAGGTTCAAGGAAGACAGATGTTTGATGTCTTAGTGTACAAAGTCTCCAAGGGTTTAAATGCTGCAGGCTCATTTAACAAATTTGAACCCATGTGGCCAGTCTGGCTGGGTGGCGGACAGTCTGAACCATTGTTCACAATTAGTTCTGCAATAAACACGGGAAGGGTTATTTGGTCAAATAATCTTAGACATAAGGAATTATGAAAGTTTGGAAGATTTTTCACAGCAAACAGAGCCTTTGCCACACTGGCACAGTTGTGCCTGCTAAGTCAGGTGGATTGGAGGTATGGTCTCCACACCTTTCCCTAGGGAACCTTCTTTTCATAGAGCATTTCATGGCACACATATGTGTGGACACACTTTGAGAAATGCTGCTTTGGACATTAAACTGTTCGGTTGTAATAGCAGTAACACAGTATGTCTGTGTATGTATCCATGTGTGTGTTTAGCTCTTGCCACCCACCTAAGGAGCTATCTGACTCTCTAGCCTAGAGATGTGTATGTGCATTTTTTTAAGAAAAGCTTGAAAGAGAGTCCATTAATCATTGATATCATTTCAATTAAAGCAACAGCTAAGACAACAGTTGTTCTTATTGATTTCATTCTTGGATGAATCAAACTCTTACAACAGAACATTTTAGCATGTTTGTCCCTGTGTAAAAATCTACTTGATAAAGCAGAAAAGCTGAAATATTCTATAATCTCATGAAGAGAGCAGCAAAAATATATCAAGAGCCAGAGCCACATTAGTAGGTGTCATCATCACGCCTTTAAAACCCAAATCCTGGGCTTTATCCAGGAGCCCCTTGCTCTCCTGCTGGCTGCAAAGCTGTAGGTGGGCACAGTGGGTCCGGGAAGGGATTGTTGCGTGCCTTTTTCGGGGAGGGGAGGGTGTGATATGCTGTGACATTAATCCCACTTAATATCATATGCAAGACAGGTTTTCACAAATAGAGAAATCCTGGGTTCCAGGTGCTCCCAAAAAGCTGAAAGGTCAGTGAGCAGGATCTGATTTGTAGAGGATAAGCCTCCTCTAAAAGCAGAGGGCTCATGTACTTGTCTGAACTCCGAGGGTATTGTTTCTGGGGCATGTTTCCAGGTGCATCTGTATTTAGAGCTCTGTGATGGGTCTGTTTGGTGGCAAATTTCATTTTCTTCAGCTTTGCATTGTTACCCAAGGTGGAAATTTGGAGGAAGAAGGTGGTACTGGAGCACAGCATGGAGTCAGCTTTGTTCCAGGGCAGCGAGGGGCAGGAGCGGACTGGTAGGCCCTTAGATCCTGACACGTGCTCATTCTCTGCCACCGCTTCATCTCCAGCTGCCTTTGGAGCTCTTCGCCCCTCACCCTTCCTGCTGCTCTCAGCAGCAGCAGCTCTTCCTTGCCTTCTGGGGTTTTGCCCATGACCAGGTCCCATGCTCTTCCCGACATCCTCACCCTCCCTCCCGTCAACTCCTGTCAGCCCATAAACCTGCCTGAGTTGCTCAACCAAAAATTCAAAAACAAAACCAACAAGACCAATTTCTTGTCCCTGTCTATGCTCCATAAGCCCTGCCCATTGTTCCTCCCCTCCTTTCCCAGCACCAGGGAACAGTGTGCCCAGCCCTGAATCCCCTTTGTCCTCCTCCCCACTCATCCTGGCCCCCCTGTCAGGCTCTGCCTTGAAGGAGATCATCTGCACTGGACCAGATGACCAGTTCTGACGCTCTGAGCACCTGCGGGCCTGCTCCCCTTAGGCCCCTCCTGGGCTGCTGAGGGCTGCCTGAGGACTGTGGCTCCCTGAATGCTGCAGCAGAACAGCAGAACCAGGGCTGAAGGCAGCCCTGCCCTGCTGGCTTTTGGCTATAAGTTTGTTCACCTTCTGAGCTGTCTCCCTCAAGGCCCTGATGACTGTGATTGCCTCTAAACAAATGCCTCCGAGATTCCCTCTCCAAGCTCTGCAGTGCCTGTCTGCGGCCTGCAGATCCAGAGCCCCTCATTAGACTCCAGTGCAGTCCCGCACTCCCACTGCCTCTTCTGCTTTCCTGGCTCTCGACCCTGCCCTCTTCTTCATTTCTCACAACCAATGGCTGATGGCTCCTGTGCTCCTGCCCTGGAGGCCACCGCAACACCTGTGCATTCCCTCGACTTATCGCCTTGATGGCACTGCTTCCTGGCTGGCCATCCTGAGTTCACCCTTGCCCCTTCTAGTCCACTGCCCAAGCCAGCATCCACCCACAGCTCTGGAGACACTATGATCCTCCTCAAACCCCACCTTGGCCCCAGACTGCCTGCAGAAAAGGCTCAGCTTCCCAGCCTTGCTGGCACTGTGTTCCCCCCTCCCCCTCCCAGGCTCCCCAGACCACCTCTCTGGTTTCCGCACCACACCACTTCCTCTCAAGATGCCATCAAATGGGCCTGAGGGCAGTCGAGCCTGGGCAGGTGGCCTGTGCCCGAATCCATCTCTGAGCCCCAGCCCTCGGGCCCAGTTCATTTCATTCCCTTTGGTGCGGTGAGCCTGGGTCTGCCGCTGGGGATCACTTTGTCACCTATGTGGCCTGGCACCACACTAGCACAGAATCTGTACTTGTGAACAGTAGCAAGAGCAGAGTGTGGGCAGAGACAGGAAACCATTGAGCTCACCTGCTGGCTGGCCCCAGCCTATTGTTGGGTTACCCAACACCCAGCAGATCCCAGTGGCAGTCCACTGTGTTTATCACTGCATTGTAATAGATGAGCTCTGGGCATGGGTTCCTGCAGACCCTGTGCCCCTTTGCTGGTGGACAGAGTATAGGCTCTGCCAGGCTTGGGCTCACTGGGGTGCCCAGCAGCCAGAGTACAGAGGCCAGTGGACCTGGGCAGGAATGCTGTTGCTGGTCTGGTGCAAGATGAGGGGACAGAGTGCCCTGCTCTGTCTTGGAGGGAGAGGTCAGGAGGCATGGCTGTTACTGACTGGGTGATAGGACCGGTTCTGCTGTTCTGCTGCAGCATTCGGGGAGCCACAGTCCTCAGGCCAGCACAGTGGCTGCCTCCTGCTCTGCCATTCCGTCTCTGCTCCTGTCCCTAGGGGCCTGCACATTCTGATGCTTCTTGCTTGCTTGCTCGGCCCTCTGGCTGGCAAACTCATCAGAATCTTTAGTCACTTTCCTGGCTCAGGCCTCTGACCCCTGGACACCTCCATTGGATGTCTCCTGGGCTAGAAATTGGCCAAAGCTAATCGGGCTAAAACTGAATTCTCAATTTCATCCTTTTCCTCCAATTTGCCATCCCCACATCCTGCCAGTTCTATTTCCAAAGTGCACTTGAATCTTTCTGCTGTCTCTATGCTATGCCAGCACCTGCAGCCCCATCTGCTGCAGTGGCCTCTCCCAACAAGGCCTCCCACATGGACCCTCCTCAACTCCAGTCCCTTCTCCAGTAGCCAGTGTGGCCTGTGCAGGTCACCTGCGGGGTCTCACTGCTCCCTACTTGCTCACTGCATGCTCAGTGGTTCCAGTGGCAGTGACAGTTGATTCTCAGTGCCATACGCTGCTGGCCATGTGGTCTCCAGCTCCCCACATCCCCATCCTCCTCTCACACGTGGCCTGCTTTTGCTTCCCTCATTTCTCTCTGCCTGAAGTCACCTTGCTCCTTGTTTGTCTGGGCCTAAGTGTCACTATTTCCTGAGAGGCCTTTTCTGACCCCTGTTGTTTGCTCACTTGCCATTATGTATTTTTCCTTTAAAACACTTACCATAATGTGTAAATATACATGTGTCATTACTTTGCACAATCTGTTCCCTCACTAAGTGAGCCAGAAGCTCCCTGAAGGCCAGGGCAGACTCTGTCTTATGCTTGCTGCTGGGAAGGCTGGCAGAGGCCAGGCGAGGTGGCAGCCCTCATGTCTGACTTGACTTTGAAGGCAGTGGTGGGCTGACGTGGACAGATCTGAGGCCTGGAACCACATGCTGGGATGTGGTCGAGCCTTGCCGTCCTGCGGGCCTTGCTCAGGAGACTGAACCTTGAGGCTTCTGGCTCCACTCGATTTCTGAGAAGGGCCGCTCTTTGTGACTTCTTCTCCACTCGGTGTCCTGCACAGCAGCCCTGGGGGTTTTTCAAAAAGGGAACCAGCATCCAGCAGAGAAATTTGGTTTCATTTCCTAGCCAGGCCTCCCCCTCACACCTCTGAGCCTCTGCCCTCCCACCTGCAATGGGGATAGGCACGCAGGCCTCAAGACTGTCAGAAATGCCAGCAGTCGTCCCAGCTCCCTGCCACTCAGAACCTCAGTTTCTTTAGTTTCTTTATCTGGAAAGAGGGAAACAAGCGTAACTCGATGATCTCTAGGTCACTGGTGGCTTGAACTTTGATGATTCTCTGAGGAAACCCAGAACTGCTGGTGTGCCTAGCAACAGGACACGAGAAGTCCCGGCACCCCCTCCTACCTGCTTGGAGAGGAGTCCTGTGGCCTTTCAGCTGGAGGGTGGGGGCTCGACAGCACATAGCCGGGGTCAACGCTGCTGGCCTCCAGGGTTAGGGGGTTGGCTCTCATGGCTCCAGAGAGGAACCAATCCTGAGGAAGCCCTAAGTCCCTGACCTCGGCCCTTAGGGCAGCAAGTCTCCTAGAGAGCTTCAGAGGTCTGAACTCCCGAAGGGAAGAGGAAGAAGAGGCTTGGAGGTGTGTTTTCTCATCTTGTTACTCTGTGGTCCTTGTACCTGTAGGGGACCCTCCTTGGTCCCCAGGAATCCTGGAACCAAAATGGGGAACACCTCAATGAAATGAACCCCTAAAATATCTCTCCCTATCGCCCACCCCCAGCCAGCTATGTAGCTAATGCTTATCCTGCCTAAGTTGTCTTTTGCCGGCTCTTCTAAACATCCTATCACTGGACTCTTTTAAACAGCTGTATTGAGGTGTATTTCATGTATTATAGAAATTAATTGAATTGAATTGAATTTGAATTTATATAATTCAGCAGTTTTTAATGTAGTCACAGAGTTATGCAACTATCACCAAAATCTAATTTTAGAACATTGTCATCACCCCGGAAAGAAACCCCATGCCTGTTGGTAGTCATGTCTCATTCCAGAAACAACCCTCCCCGTGTCCCCTCGTCCCCAGCCCTGCAGCCTAGGCAACCATGAAACTGTTTTCATACAATAAATATATTGTATTTTTGTGATTGACTTCTTTCACTTAGCATAATGTTTTCAAGGTTCATCTATGTATGGCTACTTCATTCCTTTTTAAGGCTGAGTAATATTCCATAGTATGAATATGCCACATTTTGTTTATCCATTCATCAGTAGATTTGGATTCTATTTTGCTAGTTTTTCTTGAGGATTTTTTATCTGTATTTATAAGAGATATTGGTCTGTAGTTTTCTTGTGATGTCTTGGTTTTTGATATCGGAGGACTATTGGCTCCATAGGAAGAATTGAGAACTATTCCCTTTCTTCTGTTTCTTGGAAGAGTTTGTGAACATTTGGTATTAATTCTTAAAATGTTCAGTAATACAAATTTTAAATTTCTTTTTGAGTTGGTTTTGGTAGTTTGTGCCTTTCTAGGAATTTGTCTCCTTTATCTAAGTCATCTAATTTGTTGGCAAACAGTTATAGGTTTTGTTTATTTATTTATTTATTTATTTTTGAGACAGGGTCTTGCTCTGTCATCCAGGCTGGAGTCCAGTGGTACAATCATGGCTCACTGCAGCTTCAAACCTCTGGGCTCCAGCAATCCTCCTACCTCAGCCTCCCAAGTAGGTGGGAGTCAAGCACATACCACCACACCTGGCTAATTTTTAATGAAAAAAAGTTTAGAGATGGGGTCTCATTGTGTTGCCCAAGCTCGTCTCAAACTCTTAACCTCAAGCAGTCCTCCTGCCTTGGCCTCCCAAAGTGCTGGGATTACAGGCATGAGCCACTGTACCTGGCCACAAACTCTTTTTCATATTATCCCTTACAATCTTTTTTATTCTGTAAGTTTGGTAGTGATGTTCCCTATGTCATTCCTGATTTTAATAATTTTATTTTTTTCTTGGTCAGTCTAGCTAAAGTTTGTCAAACTTGGTAATTTTTTCAAAGAACCAACTTTTGTTTTTATAGATTTTTAAATTTTTCCTATTGTTTTTCTAGTTTTTTTGTTTTTTGTTTTGTTTTTTTTTGAGTTAAGGTCTTGCTGTGTCACTGAGGCTGGAATGCAGTGGCACAATCATAGCTCACTGCTGCGTCTAACTCCTGGGCTCAAGCGATCTTCCTGCCTCAGCCTTTTGAATGGTTGGGACTACACGTCCCAACTCACCCCTAAATACCCAAAGATGCTAGCACAGATGCCACTATGATCAGCTTCTTGAGTATTTAGAAGGGAGTTGTTCAGTTTCCACATATTTGTGAATTTCTCAAATGTCCTTTTTTATTGATTTCTAATTTCATTCCTTGGTAGTCAGTGAATATACTTTCAAACTTTGTTTTGGTTAATCCTTTAAAATTTTTAAGGCTTACTTTATGATTTAGTAAATGGTCTATCCTCAAATATGTTCTGTGTGCATTTGAGAAGAATGTGCATGCTGCTGTTATTAGGTGGAGCATTCTACAGTTGTATGTTAGGTCTGCTTGATTCCTTATGTTATTCAAGTCTTCTGTTTCCTTGTTGATGTTCTGCCTAGTTTTATTTTTGAAAGTAGGATATCAAAGTCTCCAACAATTATTAAAATCTCCTGCGTTCTGTTTATTTTTGTCATGTGAATTATGGGGTTCTGTTTATAGGGGCATATATGTTTATAATTGTTTTATCTTCCTCCTGCAACTACCCTTTTATCATTATAAAATGTTCATCCTCTTTGTATCCAGTAACATTTTTGTTTTAAAGTCAATTTTGTCTGATATTTGTATACCCACTCTAGATCTCTTTTGGGTATTGTCTTTATGGTATATCTTTTCTCGTCATTTTACTTTCAACCTACTTGTGTTTTTTAATGTAATGTGTCTCTCATAAGCAGTAATGGTTTGATTATTTAAAAAATTTATTGGCCAATCTTTGCCTTTTTGTTGGAGTATTTATTCCATTTATATTTAATGTAATTACTGATAATACAGATTTATGTTAGCCACTTTGGAATTTGTTTTCTATACATGTTATATCTTTTTTGTTCTATTTCTCCATTACTGCTTTCTTTTTGTATTAGATAGAAATTTTCCAGCATACCAATATAATTCTCTTATTGTTTCTTCATGGTATTCTTTTAGTTATTTTATTAGTGGTTATTCTGGGGATTACAATTAGCCTCTTAATTTAAAACAATATAGTTCAGATTAATACTTCAGTGGTTTACAGAAACTTTGCTCCAATATAACTTTGTTCTCCCTGCTGCCTGACTCGTTGGTGCCATTATTGCCATACTAACTATATCTTTATGAATTACTGGAGTTTTGTAAGTACTGCTTTGTGCAGTTATCTTTTAAATAGAAGAGCTATAAAAATACATTTATTTTGTCTTTTATTTTTAACTATATATGTGCTCTTCATTTCTTAATGTGGATTTCAATGAACATCTAATGTCCTTTTATTTTTCCTGAAGGAGTCCCTTTAGGATTTCTTGTAGGTCTGATCAGCTAGGACGAAGGACTGAATATTCTTGGTTTTTAGTTCTCTGAGAATGTCTTCTCCATTTATGAATGATGGTTTTGCTGGATATAGAATTCTTGGTTGACTGTCATTTTTTTCTCTTTCAGTATTTTGAAAATGTTGTTCTGTTGCCTTCTGGTTTCCATGGTTTCTGATGAGAAGTCAACTGTTAATTTTAATGAGAATCTCTTGTATTTTCTCTTGTTTCTTTCAAGATTCTTTGCCTTTGGACAGCTTGACTATGATGTGTCTAGGTGTAAATCTCTTTTTTTCAACAAATTTGGGAAGTTCTAACCATCATTCCTTTAAATATTCTTTCTACCTTTTTTCTCTCCCCTCTCCTTCTAGGACTCTCATTTTGTGTATTTTGGTGCACTTTATGGTGTCCCATCAATTTCTGAGGTTCTGTTCATTTTTCTTCATTATTTTTTAGTTTCTGGACCTCAGACTGGCTATTCTCAATTAACCTATCTTCAAGTTTACTGATTTTTTTTCTTCTATAAGCTCAAATCTGCTGTTAGAGCCCAAATAGTGATTTATGTATTTCAGTTATTGTACTTTTAAATTCCAGAATTTATATTTGTTTCTTTTTATAATTTTTATTTCTTTATTGACATTCTGTAATTGGTGGGACATCATTGTCACACTATGTTTTATTATATAGACATAGTTTCCTTTAGTTCTTTGAACATATTTACAGTAGCTGATTTGAAGACTTTATCTAGTAAGTATAACATCTAGGTCAAGGACAGTTTATATGGACTGCTATTTTGTGTGTGTATGGGCCATACTTACCTATTTTTCTTGGGTATCTTACAATCTTTTGTTGAAACCTAGACATTGTAAATAATATAATGTGGCAACTCTGCAAATCAGATTTACCTTCCCTCCTCAGGTTGCTGTTGTAGCTATTTTGTTTAGTGAATTTCCTGAATTAAATCTGTGTTCCCTGTTGTATGCAGTCACCCAAGTCTCTTGGTTAGTTTATTGGTCAGCCAATGATTTGTCAGAAATATACTTAAGTGTCTTGAAGCAATAAGTCTTCTACCCTTTGAGGAGAGTGTGTTTGCACATGTATGTTTGTGTGTTGGCGCACACTTCCATTGCTTAGGAAGTTTGTGACTCTGCCATAGTCTTCCCTTCCTGCTTGTGCAGGGACTCAAAATCAGCCAGAGATGAGAGACAGAGGCCCTCTCACGTCTTTCCTCCACAATGGCATAGCGCTGCTCAGGCATATGGCTTTCTGGATCTCTAGGAGTATATCATGGGTTTTCAAAGCCCCCAGTGGATATCTCCTTCCCCAGATCTGCAAGTTTTGGCCAGCTCTTGTTTGCCCCAATTGGTATCACAGCTTTAGGCAGCTGTAATGTTAAGGAATTGCTGCTGATTGTTTTTGACAAATGCCCTGGAATTAGATCTTTTCCTGCAGAGTGAGCTCTGAGTCAGATCAAATATGACAATGCTCTCTCAGTGTCTGTGGAAGCACGGGGGATTAAAAAAGAGTGGGTGGGGGAGAAAGAGAGAAAAAGCAATGTTCTGTAAAAGGGGCTTTTTTAAGAAGTTGCAAAACAGATCAAATTTTTACAGTGCTCTAGGAATGAGAATCTTTGAGAAATGAATTCATACCAAGGTATATGAGCAAGTTCTCAAGGCTTCTCTAGATGCGGCCTTGTCCCCCTTACCTAATCTTTATCTAAATGCTAAGTGGTGACATGGAGGTGGGTTAAGGTACCCGAGGGCTTGGTCTCAAGGAAGCAGTGTGAAATGTTGGAAGCTCTGGAAGCTTGGAGCTGGGCTGACCTGGTTCTGAATTCTGGCTCTGCCATCTACTGTTTGTGCAGCCTTTGGATGGGATGCTTCTCTGAGCCAAAGAGGGATACCTTTGTCTGTAAATTGGGATGTCTCACTAGGTTGTGTTAAGGGAAGAGTTAAATTGGCCTCTGTGTGTAAGATTGCTAGCACACAGAAAATGTCCCAAAATGGAAATGATTATTATTTGGCTTGAGGCTTAGGTTAAAATGCTAAAAAGTGATGAGACCAGTATTGTTTTGTTGAAATAAAAGCATTTTTAACACATAAACATTATGCGTCAAGCCCTGTTTTAAGCACTTTCTATGTAGAGTTCATTTAATCCTCATGCTAGCCCTCAAGTGGACTTTATTAATTGTCCTGTTTTAGAGATGAGGAAGTTGAGGTGCAATTTCCTGCCTAAGGCCACCCACGGCTGGGATTCCCATAGGCTATCTGGCACCAGAGCCTGCGCTCTTGTATCTGTTTCATGTTAATACTACACAACTGAGAAGCCGGTGTGCACTTTGAGAAATAGCAATGGAGAACACCAAAGGACAATAAGAAAAGCAGCATATGCCATTTGCCAATGAAACTGGCAACAAAAGGCCTGGGACATCCCCTAGTCAATCCAGTTTGGAAGAAGTTAAAGGTCAGATACAAACTTCCCCATTGTGGCTTCAGCCTATCCAGGTTCCTCTCTGAGAATCAGTCATGCAGAGAGCCTGCTCACCACTGGAGTTCCTCTTGAGGTAGGGCTCTGTCCCTGGAGCAGCCTCCTCCCTGCCCACTAAGTCTGCTCAGGCTGTTGTTGAGACTGGGGGCTAATTGGGGGAGGTGGCCAGGGACTGCTGTTCTTCAGCCTGTCACAGTCAGATCCACTTGCGAGCCCACAGAAGCGGCAGAGAGGATTTTTAACTCAGTGCTCATCTTGACAAGCTGGTTCAGTGCTGACCCTTACAGGCCAGGGCCATTCAGGACCAGGCAACCCCACCCTGGGATTTGTTCAGTCATTATGACTTGAACAGTCAATGATGTCATTATCAAGTATCTGGTGCATTCATGCCTGGCCCAGCATGGACGCTCCAGTCCTCTTCTGGGGACTTACGGGCCACTTTGTTATGATGAGTCCTGGGCCCTATGGAGCCATTGTTGAGGATTTCCAGCAGCACCCAGTCTGCATCAACAACTTCTGGAAGCAGAGAGTCCCTGAACCTTGGAGCAAGGAGAGGTATTTGAGATTAGGTTGTTTCTGCTTCCTCCGTTTACCAATAGGGAGAGTCGGATGGAGAGAGGCCTGCATCACCCTCTGGGGCACATGGCTTGTGTGGAGGGAGCAGCAGCTCCTTGGGAGTTGAGGGTGCAGAATCAGGGGCAGCGTGGATGGCCTTGGGGTCAGGCCACCCTGGGCTCAAATCCTGACTGTTGCTGTGCCACTGAGCATGTGCCTGAGCTCTCTGGGCCGCAGTCTCATGCTGGCTGGATGAGTGGCATCTCAGGGCTGCCGTGTGCCACGAAGGCACCGAGAGCAGGACTTGTGCAGGATGTGCGTCCACCAGTACCACACACCATCTTCCTGATGAGGGCCAGGGCAACCAAGGTCCTTTGTAGACACCAGCACCTTCTAACTTGGTGAGGTCCTGGCTGCCGTGCCGTGCATGGAGTCACCTGCCTGCAAACAGCCACTCTCTATCCTGCTCCAGTCCAGTTTGAAAAACAAGCAAGGTCTATTCCAGTGAAGAGCCACCAGGGAAGAGTCAAGGAGGGCATCTGCTGTTCAAACCCTGACCCCCTCTTGCTAATGATGGCATCACGCTTACTTTTAGATGTAACATACAGCCTCGGAGGGGTTGGAGGAGAGGTCCATGGAGATCACCTGGCTCAGCCTTCTCGTTTTCCAGATGATTTTTTTTAGTCCAAAGAGACTAAATGACTTGACTAAGGCCACACAGCATGTCAGCGGGCCAGCTAGGACTCCACCCACAGCCCCTGAGTCTGGGGATCCCTGTGCTCTTGGCTCTGAGCAAGGCTGCCTCACTTCATTTTAGTTTAGTCTGTGTGACTTGAGCACAAGTTCTGCACACAAAACTGTGCAAGGCCACTAATAGCACTCACAGAGCAGTGCTATCCCTTCCTTCCTTTGAAATGGTGGAGGTGGAGACAGTACATACAAGAGTTACTCAAGACAAGGATGAGGGTGCAGGGAGGAAGCCGAGCCCTTCCATGCCACCTCTGAGACAGCTGGAGGGCATAGCCGCTCCATGGCTGCAGCCCGGTTTAGAATGTGCCAGGGGTGGGGTCAGGCACCGCTTTCTTAAATGATCTTTCCTCTGTTGTCTCAAGACATTTTCCAAGTACCAGACAGGACAAAATGGCTTAGATGTAAGCCTCTCTACTTTGCCGCAGGCCCCAGTGCTCTCTGTTGTCCCACCTAGGCTCCTGCTGCCTGCCCTGATGTCTGCAGATTCACTTGGTCAAGAGGAGTTCCTTCTATGCCTGCTGTGTTTTTCAGCCATAGCACAGAACTGTTTTATGGGGGGAGCATGCTCATGCGCTAAATCAGTGGTCTCTCACTCAGGGAGGAAGAGAGGCCAACATTTGCTGAGGGCTTACTGTGCCCTGGGTTCTCAGCTGTCCCCACGAGGGGGTGCAATGCCCTTGGTTTTAAAGAGATGAAAATATCAAGGCTCCAAGAGGTAAAAAACTTGCCCCAGGCCACCTAGATGTGGCTGGTGAAGCTATGTTTGAACCCACCGCTGACTAACTCCAAAATTCATATTCTTTTCTCTTCTCTCGGCTGTCTTCCAAGTATCCAGAATGGACTGTCTGGAAAGCGTTCTGTTAGTACTTCTTGACTGTGGGACTACAGGTCTTTGAGTTTCTCCTAATAAAGTGATTTCTGATGAAAATCTGAGAACATCCTTCCTTCCTGTGCCCCCTCCTCCATGACTCGTCGGGCGTCTTCAGAGCCTGGAAGTCCCTGGAAATCCGGAGTAGCAGGCACTGAAAGGATGTCACGGCCCCCTCCCTTTATTCAGAGAGCCTCTCCTTTCCAATAACCTTCTGGGAAGGCACTGATAGTGGGGAGGATGGGGCTGTGCGGGGAGGGCCCAGCGAGTCTGGGGGAAATGAGGCTGTGGAGCCCCGGAAGAGGCCAGGGTCACCCAGCATCCTGCCCTGCCTCTGCTGTGAGGCCCCATTGTCCTGGCTGGAGCTCCCAGGCTGGCCCGCCTTCGACTTGAGCATTCATGAGCCTGGCTCTGAGGCCCATTCCAAGTTAGTGCTATTTGTAGAATCTTCTTAAAATACCACAACAGTGTCATTCATGGAGCGTCTGCACAGCCATCGATGGTAGACATCAGAACAAAGCTCCGCTGTGCCTGGCATCCTGTTCTGGCCTCTGCTGGAGGTGTCCCCTCTGCTCCACTGACTGGGGATGTTGGTGTCCTCCCTGTCCTGGGTGCTCCTGAGCGATGCCCCATGGGGTCCAGCAGAGACTCTGGTCCCCCACGCTGGCCAGGAGCACATCCTGCGCCAGGCTCGCCAGCTGAGTGCAGGATGGCATGCTGCACTCTGCAGGTGAGACCACTGCCCTTCTCATGGCTGTCCCCACACCCCCAGCTCTGACGTCAGACTTCAGCCCAGAGCCTGCTCAGCTACAGTTGGGTGGACTGACAATGAGCAAAGAATAACAGGGGGAACCCAGGAGAATAAAGCCTTTAGCATTCAGTTTCAGAGCCGCGGGCATTCTCTGCCTTCCCCTGTGGGCAGACCTCTGTTTCCCATTAGATAACAGTGGTATCCTCACCAACTGCATCTCTCTCCCCTGCCCCAGTGGTACCCACAAGGCATCCTTAGGAACGCTTGCTTCTGGCATGTTGATTGGTGTCACTGTTAGTTAGCAATGCATTTTGTGGTACCTGGGATAAGTGGAGCAGTTTCAGGGCTTTCCCAGCTTCTGGACCTGTCAGAGCCTTTGCTATGTGAATGTACCCTGCCCTGGGCAGTGCCTCCCATACAATTTACCCTCAGGCCCTTCCTCACACAGCTGCCTGGCTGGGCAGCCTGCTTTGGCCTTCCCTGGCCCTGCAGGATGCGGGTGTGGCTAGAGCTCCTGGCAGTGGGCCCATCTGTTCAAAGGGTTTGATGACTTCCCATTTTTTTGTCTTTTCCCATGGATCCCTACCCATGAGTTGCATAGGCAGCCAGACATGGCTCCAAAAGGAGGTGACTTTGCTGGTCCTGGCCCATGCCTGAAGACAAGGGCCTGCAGTGGGCCTCACAGTGGATCTGGGAGTGGCTGATGGGACCCCCTCCCGGGTGGGAAAGGCTTAGGCAGCCAGGACACAGCAGCCCTTGCTGGGCAGCCATGCCAGCCGCACTGAAGTGGAGTTTTGAGTTTTCTAAAAGTATAGCCACTTGTCGTCAGCAGGTCCCCAACATGTCCCCAGTAACAGCTGGTCATGAGGCACACATGGCCGCTACCTGAGCAGTGGTGAGGCTGTTATACCCAACTGCAGCAGGAAAAGTGACCTTTGATGGGGAAGTTCTGCCTGGGAGTCCAAATATGCCTGGGGTGAAAGCTGGGCCAGAGGCTGAAGTCCCACAGGTGGTTTTGGGATTCTCAAAGCATTACCATGTAATGAACAAAACCCGCCTCAGTAAGGAGAGTGGCCACCCCAGCCTTTGAGCCCTGACACTTGGAGTCTGACCATCCCAGTGGAAGGCAGGGATGGCCCGAGAAGCAGGTGCCTCCAAGACAAGCAGGTCCACATGACTCAGCAGCTACAGGGCTTCAGGCAAGGGACTTGGCATTTCTATGTTCAGATCCCCCCCCACCCCCACCCCCACCCCACCCCCACCCCCCAGTATTTCCGAGCCTCAGTTGCTCACGGTGTAATTACTGTGTCTGGCTGAGTGGGGGCTGTTACTGGTGGCTTCCTATCCTTAAGCGAATTACAAAGTAAATGGGAGGTTTTGTGATTTCTTTAGCCTGTGGCCGCCCCCACTTGAGGTTGTGAGCAAATTCGGGATTGACTGCTTGTTGTCCTGGTGTCCTCAGCACATGGATACATGGGTGGAGACTGTCCCATGAGGACACATGAAACTGCTCACAGGTGCCACTTTGTGGGAGAGGACCCAGCACACAGAGGTGTGGGGCAGGAGGGAGACTGACTTTTCACTTTTCACTCTGTGTGCCTGCACGGTTGACTTTTATGTTGATGTTGCTCACCCTTTCCCCAAAAGGCTAACCTTTCTGAGTCCTGGCATTTCCTGTTTCTTCTCTTGCTGTCAGCCATCACCTCCTGATGTCAGCATGGCTGCCTCTGTCAGCTCTCCCAATCCTTTTTTAACTGCCTGTTCTAATTTACGCATATCATAAAGCAGTGAACTGCACTTGCTAGAAATGTATGCAAAGTAAGAGTCAGCAAGCCCCAAGTAAGGCCCTCGAAGGTCAGTCGTTTGGCTCATAGGGGACCTTCACCTGTTTGGCCTTTCCCAATCATTGTTTTGCGTGTCCTTGGACTCTAGATGGATGAGGTTGACAGATGGGTGATTTCTAGATAAACCAGGTGTTACTGTGATGCTCTGTGTATGGAAGGGACAGGAGTCACCCTGGGTCTGGCAGCTTTTCTGGCTCTGCAAGTTCACATGTGGATGGCTAAGATGATGATGGTGCTTGGGAACAAGGTCATTTTTTAGCGTGTTTTCCAAAATTAGTGCTGAACCCTATCTTGCTGGGGTACTGGTGGGGGGCGTGGGAGGCCCTGAGAGGCTGGAGGAGTTCAGGTTTTGCTCCCCAGCCCTGTGAGCTTTGCCAAGGGGAATAGCGCTGAACTAAGAGTCTAGCAGACAAAGCATAAAATCCTAGCTCTGGCCTTCTTGCTTGAGCAGTTTCCTTCTGCAGAAAATGGAAAAATAAGACCTTCCTGAAGGTTGTCTACAGGCTTGAATGCGAGAACATCTAGGCCCTCGTGTCACATAACTCTAGGGGCACCATTCACATAAGCTACCATGTTGCCTCCAGAGGGCACCATTGATTTAGACTACAGTGAGAGTGGCTGCCTTGGTGGGGGCGCATGCACTTAGACTACCATGTGAATGGCTGCCTCCTGGTGTTGTGCTAGGGAATGGTGCTGGATGACAGTGAACCTGTGAAACTTCTATCCTAGCACTAGCAAGGGTACTTCTTACGTGTCTGGATGCTTATACCTGGCCTCCAGGAAGGAGGCAGCTTATGAAAATAGTACAGTCATGTGCCACATCATGACGTTTAAGTCAATAGATTGCATATGTGACAGTGATCCTATTATAGTATTGTATTTTCATGGTACCTTTTCTCTATGTTTAGATACATGAATACTTCCCACCGTGTTATTATTGCCTGCAGTATTCCACACAGTCTCATGCTGTGCAGGTTTGTACTGTAGGAGCAATGGGCTGTACCATAGAGCTTGGGTGTGCAGTACCTGTACTGTCTAGGTTTGTGTGAGCACACTCTGTGGGGTTTGCACAATGGCAAAATTGCTTAATGACATATTTCTCAGAACGTATCCCTGTCACTAAGCGGTGCCTGACTATATGTTGTTTTTATAAGAACCTAAAGAACTTGAGTGAAAAAGAGTGGGAAGGACATTTGCTGAGGCCCTGAGGTCCCACCCAGCTGCCGAGGAGGGCCCACTGCTGCCTGACCTTACAGGAACTCCTCGTGAAGAGGGAAGGAGCGTCGGTGAGAGATACGTGGTGGCCAAATCAAATTAGGGAAGTTTCTCACATGCCTATAGATTTTGTGGTTCAACAAATGTCTGCGTGACTAGCCAGAGAGGGGGCAGAACTGGGATACGGAGTATTGGGCCGGTAGAACACGGGTGTGGAGAGCCACAGGCCCTGGCAGCCTCTGCCATTTGTCAAGCCACTTTCCCTTGGGCTGCAGCTTCTCCAACCAGCCCTTACAGGCTCCTTACAGGCCTTGGCTACATCTCCAGCATGCCTCCACCAGGCAGCCCTCCTGGCCTACCCCTCTCTCCATCCCAGCCAGGAGAAGCCGTCTGAACACACCTCTAGGGAGGCAAAAATCCTCCCAGGGGATCCCCATCCACCCATCCTAGGTTTCCAGGAAGGAACTGGGAATGGCCAGCCAGGTCCTGCCCCAACCACAAGGAGGAGTTCTGGAGCCACCTCCAGCCTGGCTCTGGGAGGTTTTGTGATGCAGAATTGGGGATGGGGCTCGGTGGCAGGAGAGCAGACAGCCTGGCAGGACAGCCAGGAGAGCAGAGTCAGGCGCACGGGACTCCTGCATCTGTATTTTTGGAGCTGCTGGACGTGGTCTCATGGTGGGGATGGATTAGGGGAGTGGGATGGGAGTGGGGCGATGCCACCAGCATATTTTGTTTGATGCTTACAATTACAGACTGATTTTTATTTATTTATTATATTTAGTCTAAAGTGTACAGTTTCCCAAGGCGGGCAGATCACCTAAATCAGGAGTTCGAGACCAGCCTGGCCAATATGGTGAAACCTCATCTCTATTAAAAAATACAAAAATTAGCTGGGCGTGGTGACAGCCACCTGTAATCCCAGCTACTCAGGAAGCTGAGGCAGGAGAATCGCTTGAATCCAGAAGGCGGAGGTTGGAGTGAGCCGAGATTGTGCCACTGCATGCCAGCCTGGGCAATAGAGCGAGACTTTGTCTTAAAAAATAATAGTAATAATAAAATGTAGTTTCTGGAGACAGAGAAAGCAGGGTGTGGTGGGACTTGGGGCACCCCCTCTCCCCATTGCTTGCTTGGGCCCCTCTGCCTGCCTAGGCTCCACTCACACCCAGGTGCTTGAACCCCATGCTCTCAAATTTCCTCTCAATTCATCACTACCGGGACTCTTCCCACCCCCTCTCTCAGCTCACCCCCAACTTATGAGCAAGTTCTGCTGAGTCTCAGATCCAGATAGGCACTGAGCCTGGGTGCCTGTCACCACCTGCATCCCAGCCCATGTGGCCCCAGCCTCTGCTTCCCTCCCCTGGACACCTGCCAGAACTTCCTATCTAAGCTCCTGACCCACTCCTGCCCTCCTCAGCCCACGGAGCCCCACAGAAGAGCTCAGGAGTTTTCCCACCTCGGGGCCTTTGCAGTTCTCCTGTCCATCTGCCAACCGCCTCCCCTGCTCATCCTTTTGTGCCCAGACCAGATCTGTGCAAGAAAGCCAGCCCCTGCTGTTCCTGAGTTCTCAGCCAGAGGATCCCCTCCCCAGAGTGGCTTTTCCTGACCCACCCCATTTCTGTTATCCCATCCATCTGAGCTCTCCCTGCCACCTTGGTTGGCTCCCTGTCCTTTGGCTGGTTCTCCAGGAGAGCGGGGGCCTTGTCTCCCTTGTTCACCCACACACCCCATCCAGGCCACCCCATATGTCAAGCACAGCATCCTGCACACACCAGAGTCTTGGGAAGTACCTGTGGTCTCACTGGAAGAATCAGCCTCCCTGCCCTTCAGGTTTCCTGCATGGGTCCAGCCCTCTGGAGAGTGGGGAGCTAAGGTTCCAGGGATCACCCTTGGCCATTGGATGACTGGAGCCAGGGGATCCTTCCTCCCCTTTTCATCCCAGGACTGGCAGTCCTGACACACATTTCATGAGGCCAAATGGAGTCCCCAGGCCCCCAGGGCAGCAGGCAGCTTATCCAGCTTCCCTGTGGGGCTCTCCCTCCTTCCCATCCCTCCTTCCCCATCCCGCACTTCTCCCTGGGATAGCTTCCTGAACAATAACCTTTTCCTCAGGCTTTGATTTTAGGGAACCCAGGTTAAGACACACTGTTAGTTGGGGGAAAACGTTCTCAATAGCAACCCAAAGTAGAGAAAGGCACAGGCCAGCCGGGGTTCATATCTGCTTCCTATTAGGCCACATTGCTCGGAGTTACTCATTTAGCAAATGTTGATGTGTTCACTCATAGCAGAGCACTCCAGCAGGAGTTAGGGGAGGTGCAGGCACCACTCATACCCCAGGAGGCCCGGAAGGGGCACTCCAGGTAGGTGCCAGCAGGACTTGGGCTGAGGAGGGGACATCGATGCACATTGCAGTTCCATCACTTACCAGCCTCCTGGACTTGGGAGGTTCACCCAGTGGCCTGGGCTTCTCCCGGCACCATGGGATGGTAGGGAAGGACAGCGGGATAATAGCCTGTACTTCCCAGAGTTGCTGGGAGAGGAGCTTCACAAAGCATGTACGTGGTGTTAGCAGGGTGGTGGTGCCAGTGACGGTAGCAGCAGTAGCCGCAGCAGCAGGTGTGGGGCCTCATTAATCTCTGAGACTGACATCGTTTATACCAATGTAGAAATAAATAGCCCTCCCCTCCACAGAGTCACTGGACAGGTTGACACTGGAAGCTGGCACTGAGTAGGTGCCTCATAAATGTTAGTTCCTTTTTTGTTCCTTAGAATAATGAGTTGAGCCATCCGTTATTCCCTCCAGGTCACTCAGCATCAGTTACATCAGCCACCAGGCCACCATTCGTCCCCACAACCCCTCTCTTGAACATTTCGGAACATGGTCTTCAGCTGACAGTTAACATATTCCATTTAACATGCTGCTGTTTTAACTTATTTTCTTCTCCCTCCAAATATTTTTACATTGGTGATGGCACCACGTTCCTTGGTGTTTTCCAGTCTCAGCCATGCATTCTTACTGCGGAGGCCTGGCCAAGTCCTGGCTTCTCCAAGGTCAGGAGACGAGGGGGCCTCGTCCAATCAGCCTCAGAGCCAGGCGAGCCCAAGCCGTGGGTGGAGGTGGCTGAGAGGATGCTGTTCTGAATTTATGCCTTTATCCCTGACCCCAGTAGGCCCCCGGGATCCTTCCTAGCATTGACTGCTTTGAGTTTGTTGATGATGTTGGTTAATGCCTGTCTCCGCTACCGGGCCACTCTCTGAGAGGCAGAGACTCTTGCTTTTGTCACTGCTGTGTCCCCAGTATGTGGCACAGTGTCTGGCACATGGTAGACCATCAATAAATATTTATGGGAGGAAGAATGGGATATGGAAATTTGGGAGTGGATGAAGGGCAACGGTTGGGGAAGGTGAGGGAGAAGTAGGGATATTTGAGCTGGGTCTTGATGAATGAGTAGGAGTTTGCCAGGTGGCCAGGTGGGAAAGGCACCAGCATGTGCAAACACCTGGAGGCATGAAGAATGTGGTGCTTCCTGGCAATAAGCAAGAGGGCAGGGCACCTGGAGTGTCCGGTGAGATGGGGAGAGCTGGCTGGGGCTGGAAAGGTGCTCTCCGCTCATCAAGCAGGAGCCCAGTGGGAAGCAGCAAACTGGGACGTGTCCTGAAGACAACAGGGTAAGGCCATGATGTAAGATTCTCAATGGAGAAGGGAAAGTTCTGACTGCACTGCAGAGACCACCCCTTGGCAGTGCCTGGGCATTCCCCAGCTGTTCCCACACTCTTCACTTCTGCAATTGTCCCTGGGAGAAAAATCAGAGTCCTCCTTCCCCCACGAGGTACTGCCCAGGGCAAGATCACACACTGATCCCCTAAAAGCCCCAGCATCCCCAGAATCACAAAGGAAGATTCTTAGGGAGAGGCTGGTTTTAAGAAGTGAAACTCTGCTATGATTATAAGCTAGTGAAAGGGGAACAGAGCTGAAACCATTTGGAGGACATTTGGGGCATTTTCCTAAATTAAAAGTACTCAAAACACAGGGCTGGCTTAACTTCTCCAGCACCAAACACAAGTTCCTGACTCTCTCAGCAATGAAAATAAACACAATCTTCAATCAAGACAGTCATCTGTGCCTGTGAGAATCCAATGCCAGCACTTCAGAGCCTCTCCTGAGAGGAAGCTGCTCCTCCCCTGCTCCTGAGACCCTCCCTTCTCTTCTGGGAGCTAGCCTGGGGCCCAGTATCCAGCTCCTCCTTCCAGAAATAGGCATGCAGATCTATGCACCTCTGAGTATATATCATCCATTTACTTTTTCCACATAGTAACGGAGCATCCCGTATCACTTCACACAGTTTCACCACCTTCTTTTTTTTTTTTTGGATGTACATAATTTAATCAATACATTATTTAATTTGATGAAAGGTTAAGTTGTTCCCAGTTATGTTTACTAACTTTTTATGCACGTGTACAAATTTATCTGAAGAGTAAATTTCTAGGAATAGATTGCTGGGTCATTTAAAATGTTGATATATCTCAAATTATTCTTCCAAAGAGATTGTCAAAACCAAAATCTACTTCTAGCAACAGCTCGAAGGTCTGCCCACTTTCCTCACCATCCCCATCAGGTGTATGCCTTCAGCTGCAACCCCTCCCTTGAGATGCTGGTAAACCAGCCAAGAGCACCTCCCATGGGGAGGCCTCAGGGGCCCTGCACTGGCCTTACCCACACACCTGGAACACGTGGTGTGAGAAGGCTCATTTCACCTGTCACTTTATATTAAACCTCATTTTCATTTGTTTTTTAAAATAGGTAACAAATAGTACAACTATCAGAAGGCACAAGCCAGTCTCCCTGTTTCCCTGCCTTCCAGCCACTCACCTTCATCCCCAGAAAAAGCCACTGTTCTCTTTCTCTGTCCAGAGATACTTTGTACATATTCAAACAAATCTGGGCATAAAGTACACCCTCATTTTTTAATACCTGCAAAGCATCCCATTTTATGGATATGTAGCTGGGCCCTCTCCTTTTGCCATTTGTCTTTTCACTTTCTTTTCTTTGCCTTGCAACTATTTTTAACTTTCATGTAGTTACATTTTCTTTTGTGGTCTCTTGTTTTTGAGTCATACTTAGGCCTTCTCCAAAATTTTATACAAAATTTCTCCCATGGTTGAGCCTGGCACTTTTATAGTTTCATTTTTCAACTTTAAATCTTTTTTTTTTTTTTTTTGAGGCGGAGTCTCACTGTGTCACCCAGGATGGAGTGCAGTGGCGTCGTCTTGGCTCACTGCAACCTCCACCTCCTGAGTTCAAGGAATTCTCCTGCCTCAGCCTCCCGAGTAGCTAGGACTACAGGTGCCCGCCACCACGCCCAGCTAATTTTTGTATTTTTAGTAGAGACGGGGTTTTTTCACCATGTTAGCCAGGCTGGTCTCGAACTCCTGGCCTCAGGTGATCCGCCCACCTCAGCCTCGCAAAGTGCTGGGATTACAGGTGTGAACTACGGCGCCTGGCCTTAATCTTTGATCTATTGTGTATTTTTATTTGGTTGTAAGGTGTGACATAAGGATTCAGCTTGATTTTTCCTCATGTGGCTCTCCCATTGTCCCTATCCCATTTATTAGAGAATCCCACCTGTCCTCACCCCTTTGAAAGAGCTCCTTAAACATTCCAAACTCCCATATGTGTGTGAGTCTTTCTCTGGTCATGCCACCCAGTGCTGTTTTAATTACTGAGTAGCTCTACTCAGGTTTTTGTTGTTGTTTTTGTTTTGTTTTGTTTTGAGATAGAGTCTTGCTTTGTCACCCAGTTTGGAGTTCAGATCACAGCTTATTTCAGCTTCTTGCTCTGCTGAGGTCAAGTTACCCTCCTACCTCAGCCTCCTGCATAGCTGGGATTACAGGTGTGCGCCACCACACGTGGCTAATTTTTTAATTATTATTGTCTACAGAGGTGGGGTCTTGCTCTGTTGCCTAGACTGGTCTGGAACTCCTAGCCTCAAACAGTCTTCCAACTTTGGCCTCCCAAAGTATTAGGATTACAGGTGTGAGCCACCATGCCTAGCCTCTATACTCTCTTTTAATAATTGGTTGGGCTGGTCGGACTTCACTATGTTTTCTTTCAAAAGTGCACTTGCTATTTTTGCTTATGAACCTTAAGAATCAACTTATCTGGTTTAAAAAGAAATGCTATTCATATTGTGTTAAATTAATAGACCAAATTAGAGAGAATTGGCATCTCTATTATGCTGCTGGCATCTCTATTTTCCTACTTATATACATAGAATGCATTTCTGTTTCTCCTAATTTACAAATAGATTGTTCTTTTTATATATTAATTTCGCACCCAGTTGATTTACTGGATTCTTTTATTGATTATGATGGGTTTTCAGTTCATTGACTTAGAACTTCCACACATATAAACAAGTACCCTGAAAAATAATTTAACAGCAGGAGTAATAACAGCTCACCCTCCTCTCCAGCTTTCATAGTTTTCCATTCTTTCTCTTGTCTGGTTGGTGAACCCTTCCAGGGAAATGCTCTATACCAGGGGCTTCATTAGACGTGCCTGTATCGTTCCTGGCTTTGATGGGAATGGTGCCATTGTCTCTCCACTGAATGCAGTGTTGGCTTTGAGTATATCCAGGTGAAGAAGCCACCTGTTCTCATTTAACAAAGAATATTTATCAAAATGGATGTTCAGTTTTGTCAAGTGTCTTTTCAGATTTCCCCTTAGACTGGTGAGCTGCAGGCCGCCAGTGTGCACCAGCAAGCCAGCGAGGCCTGCCCATGCCTGGCAGCTTGGGGAGGAGGTGGTGCAGCTATGTGGGCGGCCTGTGGCTCTCACGCCATCTGTACCATCCTGCTTCCAGCTGCAGGAAACAGGAAAGCCCATGTAACCTTCCAAAATCAAAGGAGCTATGTTATTCTTACAGACCAAGAAACCCAGAGGGAGGCAGCCCCCCGGGCTGGTGATTCGGGGCCCCAGCACTGTCAATGAGGACATGGCCTCCCCCTGCCCCTTCACCCGCTTTGGACTATTGGCTCTGCTCGCTGGCCGGAGTGGCTGCAAGATGACCACCAAGCGACCAACAGGCAGGACACGCCCCTTCCATGGAGAGGGGTCTCTTGGTGGAGTCCTTCTTAGACAGGAGGGAGCCTTTCTCAGATGTCCCTCCAAGAAGCTCCCCTTGGGTCTCGGTGGCTGCATCTCTAGTCTTAGGGCAGCCTGTAAAATAGAACTGCTTTTCATTTCTTTCCAGATCTTCTTTAATGAGTGATAGGTATGCACCTCTTTCAATGGCTGCCTGTCATTCCATCACCTTTGTGTATCCTGGTGTCCCATTCCCCTGCTTTGGTCATGATGTTGCTTCTGGTATTGGATTGGCTTTTGTCATTGCCTGCTTGTTTGGGCATTTTGGGTTCTGAAATGTTGAGTATGGACTCTGTGGCTGCTGCCCTTCTTACGCCAGCTAGAATTGTACTTTTGGCTCTAGCGCATCAAGAGGTGCTATTGTGTGCAGAGCGGGTATGAGAACTCCACAAAGGATAGGGCAGGGGGCCGGGCAGAGGGAGGCTGCAGCGGGGCCACTGCTTGGGGATGCAGAGGGCTCTAAATCCTTGTGCTGGGACTGGTGGGGGTGTTGGGGTGGCTTCCTCTACATGTGGGCCACTTCACTTCACTGGCTCCTGGCTTGGGCAAGGGGCCAGAAGGGCCATCATGTGGAGCACCTGGAGGCTCTGAGGACCAACAGGTGCCTGGTATTTTTGTTCAGGGGCCTTCATTGTTCGCCAGCACACCCCAAGGAGGAGAGGGACTCACCAGGTTTCTAGGTGCCCTGGTACAGCTATGCAGTGTGGCTGCCGTGGTCCCTGCAGGGATGCGAGAGTAGGTAATGGGAGACTCATCTGGGCCGTGTCCTGCTCGGGCCAGCTTTCTCCTTTCACCACAGGATCACATCTTTCTTCTCAGAAAACAGAGCATGTGGGCTCGTGATGACAGGCCAAGGTAGATGTTACCCGCAGGGAGCCTTATGCAAGTTGGGGACCGGCCCGAGGCACTGCATCCTCTTTCTCTGGAGTACACACACAGCAACTCTAAGGGATAGACAGAGGCAGAGCCCTAGAGGAACCATGGACACCTGAAGTTTCTGCTGCTCTCAGTCTATCGCCTCCCCTCCTGATATTCTGCCCTTTATCTCTTCAGGCCTGCTGGGAGGACCCTGGAATGGCCCCCTTCTCCTACCCCATGACAGCGACAGAGTCAGGGCCCAGGGCCCACTGCAGTGCTGCCCTGGGGGATGGAGCAGAGTGAGAGGGGTCCGTTTATTGAGCCCCTGGGCCTTGCAGTTGCTGCGAGTGGCAGGAGCTGCACCTGGGACTGAGGTATTGTGGCCAAGGGGGACCTGGAAGACAGGGCAGGTGGATGGTGAGACCACAGGTTTCCTTGGCTTTGTTCCTGTGTCCCCGGTAGTGCCCTGCCTCTTCTTTCCAGAGCTGTTTTCCTGGAGGGGCTCCTTCCTCCCCAGACTGCTCAGCTTGTACTGCAGCACACTGCGAGGCCTCAAACAGCCGACCCCTTACACAGCGTCCGCTGACCACCGGCACTCCCTCTTCAACATCCTCTTCCCTCCTTCCCCTCTGCCTTCTGCATCTCCTTTTCTCTCTGCATTTATGGCAATAAAAACACTTTCTGGAAACATAGAAGTGAGTCATCAGCCTCCTCCTATCCCTGGCTGAGCGCTGCTGAGGAGGAGGCAGGAAGCAGAAAGCCCAGCTGCCCTGGAGAACCCCACCTACTCTTCACCCATGCCAAGGAGACAGAGCTGTGGCCCAAGGCCTACCCTGGGGAGACAAGGTCAGGATCCTGCTCTCCTTCAGGAGTGGGCTTTGCTTTTGCAGCTGAGTAAGCACATCTTGCCGTTTTGATAATTTTTCCATGGGAGACCCTAGCCCTGTATGTGCAGGCAGTGGATTGTCCAGGTCCCATGATCACCACCTAAGAGCAGGTGGGAGGTGTCAAACCCCTAGGAGGTCAGCAGCATGCAGTTTCTCCTGACCAGCCATGGGCAGTTGGGAGAGTCAGGGTCCAGGGCCCAGTGCAGTGCTGCCCTGGGGGATGGAGCAGTGGGCCCTGGGCCCCCTGCACAGAGCCCCAAGGAATCCGGTATACCCATTTCACTCTGAGCTAGGACCTGAGAAAGCCGAGTGTGAGTAGCTCACGGCCCAGTGGCAGTTAGGGCACCTTGGTTCCTACCCCCCAATCTCCAGAGGTGTACTACACAGCACCTCCACAGCCAGGTTTGTGAACTCCATAGGGCAAGATGCAGCCCCCCTCCATTACTGCACTGAACTAGGAGGGGGATTCCATAAAGTAGCAACCGGCACACGGCAGTACAGACTTCCTTACCTAGTGTTACCGGCTGTCTTCCTACAGATATTCTGGCAGGCACCAGGCGATTGTTCAGCAGGCACCCGGGGACAAGGATCTTAGGTAAGATCCTAGAGAAGGAGGTCAGGTCCCAGCAGCTAAGGTGAAGAGAGCGGCCAGAACAGGCAGCCCTGGAGGCAGCAGCTCTGGGCTGGGAATTCTTGCTCTTCCAGTTCTTACCTATGTGACTATGAGCAACAAAGTCCATCTCTCTGAGCCTCAGTTTCTTTATCTGTAAAATGAGAATCATGACACCTATCTCACAAGCTATGGAGAGGATAAAATGCCATAGTCTATGTGATTGCGTGTATGTGGCACATGACTGGCGCATAGTAGGCTGCTGTTGTTATTTAATGTTATTACCGTCCCCATCTTTATTGGTACAGGAAGAGATGTGAGGATTGTATATCCTCATACCACCAGAGCCCCACTGTCCAGGCCTCTGAAGACAACCGACCATAAGGGGGATGGTTGTGCTTCAGGCTATGTTTTGACAAAATGGGGATTGCATACATCACCTTTGCTACATCATAGATTACCCCCCAAGCCTAGTGGCTTAAAACACAAACATTTATTATCCCACAGCTCTGTGGGTCGGGAATCCGGGTGTGGCTTGGCTGCATCCTGTAGCTTGGGGGCTCTCACAGGCTCATCACAGAATTGGCTGCAACTGTGGGCTCATCTGAAGGCTTGACTGATGGGAGATCCACTTCAAGCTGAATCACACGGCTATTTGTAAGGGACAGTCCCTTGAGGGCTGCTGGACAGACCACCACAGTCCCTTGCTGGCTGTTTCTGGAGGCTTCTCTCAGTTTCTCACCACGTGGGCCTCCGCCTCGGGCAGCTCCCAGCAGGGCAGCCTGCCTCAACACAGCCAGCAAGCCAGAGAACAAGCGAGGGAATGTGAGAGGGAAGCCACTGTCTCTTTGTGACCTAATCTCAGAAGTGACATCCTGTCAATTTTTGCCACATTCTATTCATTAAAAGCAAGTTATTAGGTCCTGCCCACCTTCACGAGGAGTAATTACACAAGAGTCTGACTACCAGGAGGAAGGTTCACCGGGGGCCATTGCAGAGGCTGCCCACCAAGGGATGGAGCCTGGAGCACCCACTCTGCAGCCAGACTGCCTGGGGCATTCAGATCCTCAGCTATTAAGAGTGGGCTGTGAGTGGCCAGTGCTTTAGGCACCAGTTGGCAACTAATTTCCCTTGGGTGACCGGGGGCAGTTGGGAAGATACATCTTATTAGTCATGTGACCTTCGACTAATTATTCAACCTTCTGTAGCCTCTGTGTTCTCATCTGTAAATGGGGTATCATCATTGTAACACCATATCAGGTGGTTGTGAGGACATCGAGATAAAACACGAAAGCTTTTAGGATGATGCCCAGCATATGGTGAGCACTCAATCAAAGCTGGATATTTTAATTAAGAGAGATTGCCTGTTACCTCCCAGAGCCCTCCACATCCCCCTCTGTGACTGCTGCCATTCACTGAACCCTGAGCCTTTTCCAGGCACTAGACTAGTACCTGGGGACACCAGGAAGAACAGTCATACATTCCTTCATAAGTCGTACATTCCTTTCACAGAGACAGGCAGTAAACACGTATGCAGACAAACAAGCTGCTTTCCAATCAGGATAAGTTCTATAGAGAAAGTCGTGTAAGACTAATTGGGTGGGAGGGCGCAGCTCCTTGACGAAGGCTCTCACCCAGGGAAGGATTCTGTAATGTACATTTGAGCTGAGGCTTTAAATGAGAGGGAGTCAGCCATGCAAGGAGGTGGGAGGGCATTTGGAGCACCTGAGAGAATGCAAAGTTTCTGGTGGGAAGAGGGTGAGCTTGAGGGAGAGAGGGTGCTAGAGTGGCTGACAGCAGGACATGGGCCGGGGGAGGAGAGGTGGTCCGAGGGACCTGGAGGCCCACAGTCACATCAGAGTTGGGTTTTATTCCAAGAACAGTAGGCCCTCTGAAGGGTTTCCAGCAGTTGTGCTTTGCCCTTAAGGGGCTGCTTTTCTTTGCTGGAGAGGTGGACAGATGGGTGGATGGATAGATGGGTGGATGGATGGACGGACAGATGGATGGATAGATAGATGGGTAGACAAATGAGCAGATGGATAGATGGGCAGATGAACAAGTGGACAGATGGATGGAGAAATGGGGGAGATGGGCAGATGAACAGGTGGCATCGGCACAGGCGTAGCCCCTTGCTCTGTACTTACTGAGCAAAGTTTGGTGCTCATTGCCTCCCTCTGCCCTCCAGGGCTGCCTGAGGTGTGAGCTCCTGAAACCACATCCTGGGAGGGGCGACTGCTGCTGGAGGAGAGGAGACCAGGCTAGGTGAAGGAGCTGCTTCCTGCTCCCTTTGTCCCAGAGGCAAGGGAGACACCATAAAGGCAGCAGCTGACTGGCGCACAGAATCCACAACAGCTGAGTTCAAATCCTGGCTGTGCCATTTCCCAGCGTGGTGACCCTGGGCCACTGAAAGCTCACGGAGCGTCAGCTTCTCTGTCTGTGACACAGACCATGTGTCTACCTTAGAGGATACGGAGGTGCTTACCAAGTACCACGTGCAGGTGCCGTGCCCAGCCTCTGGCTTCTTGGTCTCATTCCATCTTCACCACAGTCCTGGGAGGTGGGTTTAGTTATTGGCCTTGTTTTGCTGATGAGAAAATGGAAACAGAAAGATTAAGTAACTATCTCAAGACCATGTGGCATAAGCACTTACATCAGGCTTCTCCCATGCATTCATTAATCTCCAATACCTGGTGGGTGGGTCCACCTGGAGAGAACCCTGAGGCATAAAGCTAGTGGCACTGAGCTGGGGTTCCCACATGCCAGATAAATAGGATGGACACTCCCCCCACCTCAGGGAGTCAAGAACACAGCAGGACAAGTGCACAGGGTGGCAGGCACAGATGCGGATGCAGAACAACCACGCCGACCTCCCACTGGCGGGGATCCCAGCAAGTCCTTCTTGCCCCGCCCCAGACAGTCCCAGCCTTCGGGCACTGATAAATGCAGAAGTTCCCCAGGAGAGACAAAAGGCCTCAGCCTGATGCCCACAGGCAGAGCACACAGGCAGCCGAGTGGCCGCAGCCCTGCAGTGGAGGAGTGCCTCGTGCACCTGGTGGTTTTCTGCACCCCAACAGGTGTGTCTGGCCACTGCTCCTCTCACTGCAGCCCCCGCTGCTCCACACCATGCCCTTCTGGCCCATCAGGTGTCTGAAGAGGAGCAGGCGTATGCCCAGGGGTAAGTGGATAGCTGGAGTCACTGGCAGGCTGTGAGGACCAGGCTGGGAGACTGGGGAGGGCGATTAACCCTTGAAAGGGAAGTGGTGTTTGGTGGCCGCAACCAGGTAAAGAGAAATGAAAGACATGAATGAAGACTGGGAGGACAGCAGGGAGGTTCAGCCTGGTACATCTGGCAGGGTGAGGCCGCCGCTAGGGATCCTGTGCAGGAACCTCCAGCTGGCTCATTGCCCAGGGCTAACACCACACACACAGGCAGGTCTCAGGATGCCTGAGAGTGTGGTTGGCAAAATAATGGCCCATCAAAGGCAACATACACCGCCAGCCCCAGTCCACACTGTTCCTCACTGTAGCCACCAGCCACATGTGGCTGCTAAGCACATGAAACGTGGCTAGTCCAAATTGAGATGTGTTGTTAGTGCTAAATATACACTAGATTTTTAAGACTTTGTACAAATATATGTATAATATCTGAATAATTTTAATTGACATGTTGAAATTAATGCTACTATTGTAGATATATTGGAATAAACAAAATATTAGGTTGGTGCAAAAGTAATTGCTGTTTTTGCCATTGAAAGTAATTTATTTTTGGCTGAGTGCAGTGGCCTGTAATCCCAGCACTTTGGGAGTTGAGGTGGGCGGATCACCTGAGGTGAGGAGTTTGAGACCAGCCTGGTCAACATGATGAAACCCCATCTCTACTAAAAATACACAATTTAGCTGGGTGTGGTGGTAGGTACCCATAATCCCAGCTACTCGGGAGGCTGAGGCAGGAGAATCACTTGAACCTGGGAAGCGGAGGTTGTAGTGAGCCAGGATTGTGCCACTACACTCCAGTTGGGGCAAAAAGAGTGAAACTCCATCTTGAAAAAAAAAGAAAGTAATTTATTTTGTATATACTTTAAACATAAATACAGCTGTTCCTTTTTACTTTTTGAGTGTAGCTGCTAAAACATTTGAAGTTTCACATGTAGCTCACATTATATCTCTGTTGGATCACACTGCTCTAGACGGCTGCATCTAGACACTTGGCCTTCACCCCTGACACCCAGCTGCTAGGGCCCTCCGAGGGCTTCTGTGCTCTAGGCAGCCAGGAGAGTGACAGTGGGCCCTGTGACAAATCATACATTGCTGCTGCCACTTTTAAAAAATATTTTTTTAAAAAAAAGTTTTAAAAAATATTTTTCAATAAACCTTGGTAAAGAAGGGTTAAGTCAGATATATAATTTGATCAATTGACAACTTTTTCACCTGAACATAATGGAATAAGTCCCAGCAGCTTACAAAATGCTTTCACACATATCAGTTACCCTTTTTTCTTTTTCTTATGAAAATGTTTATATGGAAAAGTTGAAAGCCAGTTCTTGTCCTGCGACCCCTGCATTTTCGAGCCTCCCCCTCTCCCCAGGTCTCAAAAGGAAATCCTTAAGTTCAGGAGCTCAGAGGGGAGAAAGCCTGGCTGGAATCAAAAAGGGCTGGTCACCTGGGGCTGGTGCCCTTGAACAAGCCACAGGCAGAAGCAGTGAGAAAAGTGGGGTTCGGATAGGAGCCAGACTTCCCGGGGTCATAGTTCCCTGGTACATACACACACAGCTCATAGTTAGAGCTGGGGCTGTTTCTAAACATTTCTGGGCTCAGTTACCTCTCTTTAAAATGGGAATAGTGATACTGCTTCCCTCAAGATCCCACAAGTGTTCACACTACTCACGCTCATCAGTCTGTGAGTGTCATGCCCGCCTTACGCGAGGGTTTCACGTGTGCCAGTCTCCTTTGTTCTGCCGCTGCCGCCCTCACTAACCTCCTATTCATCTCAGGCTCAGTGCGTGTCCTCTCCATGCCAGGCTCTGCTGGCTGTGCTGGAGTTGCCTATAAAATAGACAGAGTCGGGGTGGGCCAACCAGAAACATTATGAATAAGCATGTCATGTAAACACATAAAATACATACAGAGTGTATTGATTGCAATCAGTGCTATGAAAAAATTCAGGCCAAGAAGGAACATGGGGTGTGGTGGGTGATGCATGGTGAGCCTTAAATAGGGTGGTCAGGAAAGATTCCCCAAGAAGGTAATATCTGAAGAAAGACCTGAAGGGGGCCAGTGCTGCAAGGACAGCTTTCTGGGCCACAGCAGGAGCAAGGGAACAGCAGGTCCAAAAACCGTGAAGCAGGAGCATGCCGGGTGTGCTTGAGAACTGGCAAAAGCAAAGGGGAGGGGAGCCAGAGATGACGTCGCAGGAGTAGGGGTGAGGGGCCTTCAGGCTCACTGCGAGGCCTTTGCCAAGAGGGGCCTGCTGGGGGATGTTGAGCAGGGGTTGGGGAGCTGGTTCAGGCCTCTACCAGGTCTCTGTGGCTGCTCAACTGAGAATAGATTGTCGGGATAAAGGAAGGAGCCTGGAGACTGTACAGCACTCTAGATGAGGAGTGGTGGTGGCCCAGACCAGGTGAGCAGTGAGAAGTGACCAGATTGCAGCTATGTTCTGAAGGAGAAGCTACTAGAATTTGCTGAGAGGAATGGATAGGAGAGGTGAGAGAGAGTGGAGCAAGGATGTGTCCGGTTTCAACTTGAGTAACCAGAAGATGGAGTTGCCCTCACCTGAGAGCAGAGGGTGTAGGCAGATGGGAGGTGAACTTCCCGCAGGTCTGGAGGTCAGGGGAGCAGTGAATCTGGATGTCTCAGCACGAGGACAGCATTTAACGCCTGAGAACGGATGGGCCCACCAGGGAGACTGGGGTCAGTGTAAAGGTGAGGGAGAGGAAGAGTCCAGGGGGCTCCCAACATCCTGCCTTGGGCACCTAGCTGTGGCCACCGAAGTGGGAACACAGGAGGAGCTAGTTTGATAGAAGCGGCACTTAGAATTCTTGGACATGCCACATTGTGCCTACGGGAAGTCACAGGATGATAGAATTGTAAGTCATTTAGACTCATAGGCAATAGAGATCTGGCTGTTCCGTATCAATGTTTCTTAACTGGGGCATTTGGGCTCCAAGGGACATTTGACAATGTATGGAGACACTGTTGGCTGTCATAGCCTGGGAGGGAGGGAGTGGGCAGAGGTCAGGGATGCTGCTGCCCATCCTGCTATGCACAGGACAGGCCTCCACACCCCATGAAAAATGATCTCACCCAACATGTCAGTAGTGCTGAGGCTGAGAAATCCCCCTCTATCCTGTACTTAAATATGATAATAAAAGGGAACACTTAGACAGTGCTTGCCAGCTGCCAGGGACTAAGCTAAGGGGCTGTCCCATTTCATTCTCCTGATGAGGTGGGTCCCTTTGGTTTCATCCCCCTACAGGTGCATGAGTCTGACAGTTGGGGAAATTAAGTCACTGTGCTCCACATTGAGGGAGCTGAGGTTTGACCCATAGACGTTGGACCCTAAGCACTGTTTAAGAGAGCCTCTGGGCCGGGCGTGGTGGCTTACACCTGTAATCCCAGCACTTTGGGAGGCCTAGGCGGGTGGATCACGAGGTCAGGAGATCCAGACCATCCTGGCTAACACGGTGAAACCCCATCTCTACTAAAAATACAAAAAATTAGCCGAGCGTGATGGCAGGTGCCTGTAGTCCCAGCTACTCGGGAGGCTGAGGTAGGAGAATGGCGTGAACCTAGGAGGCGGAGCTTGCAGTGAGCCAAGATTGCACCACTGCACTCCAGCCTGGGCTACAGTGTGAGACTCCGTCTCAAAAAAAAAAAAAAAAAAAAAGAGGCAGCCTCAGAAGTCTGTCATGTGTAATGGGATGGGGTGGAAACACAGTGGCCACACAGACAATTAAAAAAGAGGAAAAACCAGAAACTGTGATAATAGACACTCATCTTTCATAATGAATTTATTCCTGAAATATTTGCCAGTGTAATTCTTATTCATTTAAGTAAAGCTAATACTAATGTTTCCTAAGTTACAGAGAAGAAGGTCAGCATAAACCATGGAACACTGTAGAAAGTCCCCAAGTTTGTTGTAATCTTGTAATCCTCCATTTCATCTTCCTTGCACTCCCCTTTATTGCCATAAGGAAGATTTTATATTGAGAAAACAGAATGAGTTTATGGGCAAACAAACCTGTGTTTGAATTCCAACACCTCCACTTGCCTGTTCATGAGCAAAGTTCTTAACTTCTCTGAGCCTCGGTTTTTCCACCTGTCAAATGGGGTCATCAATGCTCCTTCCTAGGGTGTCTATGAAGACTGCCTGGGACTGGGCCTATTAAGCACCTTGCAGGGTGTTTCATATAGAGTAGGCCCTTAGGCATGGTAATAGGGTTTTCACTTCTGGACAAGATAAAGTAACAGGGACCTATTTACCCTCCCACCTGAAACAGCCAAAAAAAAGAAAAGAAAGAAAAAAGAAAAGCACAAAATATTTGAAACAATGCTTTCAAAATACGTTAGGGAAGGACTATGACCCCCAAGAGATGGGAAACAAGGTGATTCCCTACATGTGCCCCAGCTGACTGCCTGGAGAAAGTTTGCAGGCTGTATGCAGGAAGGGGAGACCCAGGTGGAGCCCGTTGGACTCTGTGAGTTGAAGAGACAGAGCTAAAAGTCCAGACAGACCAAAACATCTAGAGTCTGCAGGGTAGCTGCTGAGGAGGAAAGAGCTGCACAGAGAGAAAAATGCCTTGAGAATTGAGCCATGCACTCGTCACCATGTGCACATGAGGAAAACTACCCCAGGTTGGGCAAAGAACTACCAGAAAGGATCAGAGGCAACAGCACCCACGCTAATGCCAGGCAAAGCATGGCACCTGTTCCTGCCTGCAAGACCGTAAAACCTAACAGCTTGTAGGGCGTAGGACAGAATATACAGAAGGGTTTTCCCTCAGTAGTGGGAAATAATTAGCTCTGTACTGAGTACTCTGGTTCCACCTAACAAATCTTAGAGGCAACATCTGTAAGGATCAAACTCTTTCCAAGAATCTACGTTCATACCAGAAAAAGGCTGAAGAATATTTATGGAAATACAGAAACATTCATCACCCAACCATTTAAAAATCACAGTGTCTGGCAACTAATTAGAAATAACAGGAATGCAAAGAAGCAGGAAAATGTAGCCCATAATGAGGAGAAAAATAAAAAGCAATCAATTGAGACAAACCCAGAAATGACACAGATTTTAGAATTAGCAAAGACATTAAAACAGTTTTTCTAACTGTATTCTATATGATCAAAAAGTAGACACATGAAAGTTATTTTTTTAAAAAGACCTAAATTAAACTTCTAGAGATCAAACCTATTACGTATGAGATGAAAACTAATGCTGGGTGGGGTTAATGGCAGATTAGACACACTAACATGAAAAGATTTGTGAAGACATAGCAATAGCAGCTAGCTGTATTAGTTTTCTATTGCTGTTGTGACACATTGTTTACTATTTATTTATTTATTGAGACAGGATCTTGCTCTGTGGCATAGACTGGAGTGCAGTGCATGATTACAGCTCATTGCAGATTGGAACTCCTGGGCTCAGACTCCTTAGTAGCTGGAACCACAGGCTTGGTCATGCCGTGCCTGGCTAATTTTTTAAAATTATTTTTCATAGAGTTGGGGTCTTGCCATGTTGCCCAGGCTGGTCTTGAACTGGGGCTCAAGCAATCCTCCCACCTCAGCCTCCCAAAGTGCTGGGATTACAGGCGTGAGCCACTGTGCCTGGTGCCTGGCCTGTGACATGTTACCACAAACTTAGTGGCTTAAACAATGCAAATTTACCTTATGGTTCTGTAGGTCAGAAGCCTGACACAGGTTTCACTGGGCTTAAATCAAGGTGTCAGTAGGCCTGAATTCCGTTATGGAGGGTCTGAGGGCGAGTCCATTTTTCTTGAGCTTTCCAGTTTCTAGAGGTTGCCTGCATTCATCAGCTCCTGGCTCCCTTCCTCCACCTTCAAGACTAAAAATGACAGATCAGGTTCTTCTCACATTTTATCCCTTCTGCTGTAGACACATCTCTCTCTTACACTCCTCTTCTGTCTTCCCCTCCACTTTTAAATACCCTTATGATTACCTTGAGCCCACTTGGATAATCTAGGATAATCTTCCTAGTTTAAAGCAGCCAGCTGATTAGCAACTTTAATTCCATCTGCAACCTTAATTCTTCACTGTGTAACCTAACCTAATCACAGGTTCCAGGGACAGGCATGTGGATGTCTTTGGGGGGCTGTTATTCTGCTACCACACTGTACAAAGATAAAACACACAGAGAAAAAAAATTTAACAAAAACAGAGCATCAGCGAGCTGCAGGATAACCTTAAGTTGTGTAATATACATGTAACTGGAATCTCAAGCAGGGACAGGGGATGGAAACACGTATTTGAAGTACCAATCGCCAAAATATTCCAAATGTTATGAAAACTATAAGCTCACAAATCTAAGAAGTTCAGTGAGTTCCAAGTATAGGAAACCTGAATAAAATTGCACTGAGGCACGTCATAATCAAATTACCCATAACTAGTGAAACAGTAAAAAAGACACAAAACATCAAAAAATGAGGATGATGGCAAAATTCTCATGAGAAACAATGCAAGTAGAGCAACATCTTAACAGTTGTGAAAGAAAAACATTTCCAACCTTGAAGACTTTATCCAGTGAGAATATCTTTCAAAAATGAAGATGAATTAATGATTCCCACACTCAATAGCTGAAAGAATTCATCACCAATAGCTGCATACTCCAAGAAATGTTAGAGGAAGACCTCCAGGCAGCAGTAAAATAATACCATATGGGAATCTGAATCTACACAACAGAATGAAAAGCACTGTGGTAACTACATGGGTAAATATATGCTTTTCTCTTATAATTTAAATATTTTCAAAAGATGTTAAGATTTAAAGTAAAAATAACATGGGAGGTCAAAACGGGTGGATCATCTGAGGTCAGGAGTTCGAGAACAGCCTGGCCAACGTGGTGAAACCCCGTCTCTACTAAAAATACAAAAATTAACCTGGCGTGGTGTGCGTGCCTGTAATCCCAGCTACTCAAGAGGCTGAGACGGGAGAATTGCTTGAACCCAGGAGGCAGAGGAGGTTGCGGTGAGCCGAGATTGCACCACTCCACTCCAGCCTGGGTGACAGAGCAAGACCCTGTCTCAAAATAATAATAATAATAATAAAATAATAAAATAAAAATAGCAACAATATATTATGAGATGTATAACAAAGTATACCAGTAAAAGGTAAGATAAACATTGCAAAAAAGGTCAGGAAAGAAGACATGGAAGTATAATCTTGTAAGATCTTTATATCATACATGAAGGGGTATAATATCACTTAATGTAGACTGTGATAAGTTAAAGATGTATACCATAAACCCTAAAGCAATTCCTACAGCATGAAGAGAGTGAGATTTTTACTAATAAGCCAACAAAGCAGATAGAATGAAGTCATTAAAAACAAAAAACAAAAACTCCATCCAAAACAAGACAAGAAAAGAGAAAAAGGACAGATAGAAAACAGAAGCCAGACTTAAATCTAAGCATCCCAATAATCACATTATAAATAAAGCTTATCAGATTGGATAAAAAGCAGGACCCAACTATATGCCTGATAAAAAATGCACTTAAAATGTAAAGACACAAATAAGTTAAAAGGATGGAAAAAGATAACATCATACTGACACTAATCAAAAGAAAACTGGATGGCTATATTTATATCAAGGATTTCAGACCAGAGTAAAAAATATGACTAGGGATAAATAAGGTCATTTCATAATGATAAAGAGGTCAGTTCTTCAAGAGGACATAACAGTCCTAAATATTTATGCTCCATAACAGCTTCAAACTACCTGAAGCAAAAACTGATAGAAATACAAGGAGAAAATAGACAAATCTAAAATTATAATTGGAGATTTGAATAGCCTTCTCTCAATAATTGATAGAAGAAGTAGACAGAAAAATCAGTATGGATATTGAAGATTTGAACAAAACTTTCAACTAGACCAAATTGACATTTATAGGACACTCCACCCAACCACAGCAGAATAATTTTTCTCAGTGCACTTAGCAAGTTCACTGAGCAAGATATACCATATTCTGGTACAATCCCCCCAAATTCGGAAACTAACGCACTTCTAAATAACCCATAAATTAAAGAAGAAATCCAAAGGGAAACTAGAAGGTATTTTGAACTGAATTAAAATGAAAACACAACGTATTGAAATCTGGGAGCTGCCTCTAAAGTAGTAGTTCAGGGACAATTATAGCACTGAACTCTGGAAGAAACTAGAAAAAGACCAAATTAAACCCAAGGTAAGCAGAAGAAAAAAAAATAAAGATCAGAGTGGAAATCAATGAACTATGACCCAAGTCGGCAACCTACAACCTGCAGGCTGGCTGTTTGTTTTTGTAAATGAAGTTTACACAGATACAGTCATGACCCTTCGTTAACATATTGTCTTTGGCTGCATTTGCACTATAGTGGCAGAGTAAAGTAGTTGTGACAGAGACTATATGGCCTAAAAACCTAAAATGTTTGCCATCTAGTCCTTTAAAAACAAGTTTGCTAACCACAAAAACAAAAAAGTCAATGAAGCAAAAGGCTGATTTGTTGAGATCAATAAAATTGGTAATCCTCCAGCAAGGCTGATTGAAGGAGAAAAGGAAAAAGACAGAAATTACCAATATCAGGGTGAGAGAGGTAATATCAGTACAGCTTCTTCAGATAGTAAAAGGATAATAAAGGAACATTATGGACAACTTTATGCCAATTCATTCAATAACTTAGATGAAACTGACAAATTCTTTGAAAGACACAAACTAGTAAAGTTTACTCAAGAAGAAATAGATGTATATATTAAAGAAATTGTATTTGTTATTACAAACATTTCCACAAAGTAAACTCCAGGCCTAGATGGCTGCATTGGTGAATTATATCAAATATTTAAGGAAGGAATAATAGCAATTATCTACAAACTTCTAGGTTTGAAAACAAGGGAATATTTAATAGCTTATTCTGTGAGGCCACCAAAACCAGACCAAGACACTGTAAGTAAAGGAAACTGCAGGCCAATATCCCTCATGAAGATACATAAAATATTTTTAACAAAATTTTAGCAAATCAAAACAACAATATATAAAAGGGATAGTACATCATTACCAAGCGGGATTTCTCCCAGGAATGCAAGATTGGTTTAGCATTTGAAAATGTATTAGCGTAATTCATCAATTAACACACTAAAAAGATATACTGTCATTACAATAGATGCAGAAAAGACATTTGACAAAATCTAACATCCATTCCCAATAAAAACGTGGCTCAGCAGCCAACCAATTTTCCACACAGGTGCCAAGAACATACACTGGGGAAAGGACACCCTCCTCAATAAGTGATGCTGGAAAACTGGATATCCATATGCAGAAGACTGAGACTAGACCCCATCTCTCACATTTCTCTGTACAGAAATCAACTACAAATGTATTAAAGACTTACACATAAAACATGAAAGTATGAAACTACTGGAAGAAAACATAGAGGGAAAGACTCCAGGATGTTGGTCTAGTCAAAGACTTTATGGCTAAGGCTTCTAAAGCACAGGCAACAAAAACAAAAATAGCTAAGTGGGACTATATTAAACTAAAAAATCTTCTGCACAGCAAAGGAAACAATCGGCAGAGTGAAGAGACAACCCGTTGAATAGGAGAAAAATATTTGCAAACTGTTCATCTGACAAGAAACGAATATCCAGAATATACAAGGAACTCAGCTGGCAAAACAACCCATTAAAAAGTGGGCAAAGGATCCTATAGACATTCCACAAAAGAAGACATACAAATGGTGAAGAGGTATATGAAAAAAATGCAGAGAAATGCAAGTCAAAACCACAATGAGATATCATCTTACCCTAGTTTGAATGCCTATTATAAAAAACACAAAAAAAATAGACACTGGAGAAGATACTGAAAAAAGAAAACTCTTATACATTGTTGGTGGGAATGTAAATTAACACAGTCATTATGGAAAACAGTATGGAGATTTCTCAAAAAACCTAAAAGTAAAACCACCATGTGATCCAGCAATTCCACTGCTGGTATTTATCCAAAGGAAAGGAAATCAGTATATCAAAGGAATTAACCCATTTATGCCGGAGGTTGCAAATTTTTGGGGGAAAAATCAGACCTTGGCAGTGACCTTGAGCAGTAGGATATGCATAACTCCCACAAGCTTAGCATTCCAATAATGGAACACTTGGCATAAATACGTTAATGTACCCCAATGTTTATTGCAGCACTATTCACAATAGCAAAGATATGGAATCAACCTACGTGTCCATCAGTGGATGAATGGATAAAGAAACTGTGGTATATATACAAAATGTTATACTATTCGGCCATAGAAAAGGAATGAAATCGTGTCATTTGCAGCAATGAATGGAACCAGCATATTAAGTGAAATAAGCTAGGCATAGAAAAACAAATATTGCATGTTCTCACTTATATGTAGGAGCTGAAAAGAAGTTTGTCTCATGGAGGTAGAGATTAGAATGATGGTTACCAGAGGCTGAGAAGAGTCAAGCAGAGAGGGGGATGAAGAGAGGTTGGTTAATGGGTACACACATAGAGTTAGAATAAATTCTAATGTTCCATAGCAGGGTAGAGTAACAATAGTTAACAACAATGTATTGCATATTTCAAAATAACTAGAAGAGAGGACTTGAAATGTTCCCAACACATAGGAATAATAAACACTTGAAGTGATGGACACCCCAAATTCCTAGAGTTGATTATTACACACTCTATGCATGTAACAAAACATCACATGTACTCCATAAATATGTACAAATATTATGTATCAATAAAAAAAACCTCTCAGCAAATTAGAAATAGAAAAGAACTTTCTCAACCTGATTAAGGACATCTTCAAACAGCCTATAGCAGATAGACTTAATGGTGAAAAGCCGAATGCTTTTGTCATAAGATACAGGAAAAAGCAAGAATGTCTGCTCTCACCACTTCTATTCAACATGGTATTTGAGGCTCTGGTCAGTGTCATTAGAAGAAGAAAGAAAGAAACGATTCCCAGCTGGAAAGGAAGAAGTAAACTGTCTCTATTTGCAGATAGCACGATTGCACATGGAGGTTCACTGGTGTCTGTAGAGAAATGATAGACTTTTCACCAAGTGGGGCTGGAATGTGCATATGCAAAAGAATGAACTTCAATTACACCTTCTCCCATATACAAAAAGTAACTCATAGACCTACATGTAAATCCTAAAACTGTGAAACTTTTGAAAGAAAACCTAGAAGAAAACTTTTATGGCCTTAGATGAAGTAAAGATTTCTTAGATACAATGCAGGAAGCACACTCAATAAACGAAAAAAATGATTAATTGGACTTTGCAAAATTAAAAACTTCTGCTCTTGGAAATACACTGTTAATAGAATGAAAAAAGAGAGAGACATGGACTGGGAGAAATATTTGCAAAGCAAATATCTGGTAAAGGCCTTATATCCAGAATATGTCAAGAACTCTCAACACCAATAATGGAAAATAAATAATCTATTTTAAAAATAGGCAAAAGATTTGAACAGATATTTCACCAAAAACGACACACAGATAGCAACTAAATACATAAAAGATGTCCAATATCATCAGTCATTTGGGAAATGCAAATTCAAACACCTGCACACCTATTCGGATGGCTAAAAGTAAAAAGTCTGAGCATAGCTAGTGTTGGTGTGTATGTGGGGGTCCCAGAACTGTCATACACAGCTGGCGGGAAAGTAAAATGGAGTAGTCACTTTGCAGAACAGTGTGTGGCCATTTCCTTAACAGTTATGCATATATAAAAATATATATAAATACTTAAAAAGTTAGACAGGCTGAGAGCACGTTGGGGCAGGACCCAGGACAGGGGCACAGCTCTGGGCAGGGCAGATCCAAGTTTTGTGGGGCCTGAAGCTTGTGTGACTTGGGTGGCCCTCTTCAGGGAAAATAATTTTCAAATGAGAAATTCAAGATTAGGTACAAAAGTGAATATTTAGGACAAACCAAGTAACCACAAATTCCTGGAGCTGTGGATCTCCAGGTTCCTTTTTTTTTTCCAAGTCATCTTGAGATATTTTTCTAGGAATGCTGACATAGAAAAGCTTCCTGGTGACATCTGGCTTCCTCTCCCTATCTCGCACACTCAGCCATTCCAGCCTTCGTAGCCCAAATGCTGTGCAGCACTGCTGTCCCCAAGGCAGAGCTGCTTCCAGGTGGCAACCTCGGTAGGTGGCAATGCCCACAGTCCTGTGAGTGACCACACCAGCCAACCGAGCAGCCTCTGGGGTTGGGCTCCACTGTCTCAGCCTCCAGCTTCCTTCCTACCGACCTCCACAGCTCTGCTGCCCAGCGGCTGCCTGAGCCCCGGCGAGCAGGGCTTATCTGCGTAGTGAAGGGCTCCAGAGGTTATCACAGAGCCCTGGCTGCTCCTCACCCTCCTGAGCGTTGGGCCCCACGGCCTCTCCCCCTGCCTCCCCACGGGCCCGCTGTGGTGCCCTCAGCCAGGACACAGCCCCACCCTCTGCCTCAGCCCTCAGAGCAGCCTGCTTGGTTTCCCCAGTTCTTGGCGGAGAGATGGCAGGAGGGAGAGTGGGATGGCTGAGAGCCCAGAGTCGGGACTTGAATCTCTGGCTGTGCCACTCATTCGCTGTGTGCATTCAACAGGTTACTTAATTCCTCTGTGCTTCAGTTTTCTCATCTGTAAAATGTGGTTGGAAATAGTACCTTCCTCATGGAGTCACTGTGGAGGATAAAGAACCCCAGGAGGGCATGTGTGTGGCAGCTGTGCTTACCAGAAGTGTCCCAGGCACGTACCAGGTGCTCAGTAAGCGCTGGTCCTGTCTGCTCTCCATCCCTGGGTCACAGGCTCCAGCAAAGCGTGGCTTGGGCCCACCCACCCCATGGGAACACAGGTCTGTGGATCTCACACCCTACTGGCAGATAGTCCAGGGATGTCGGGGGGTAGGATGTATAAAGACAAACTCATTCTTGAAAACCCTAAAATTACCTGTGAAGTTCAGTATAAATAGTTTTTTGTATTTCCCAAAGATCAATTTGCTTACACATGAAAACTTGAGAACCAAAGAGGGGAAAGTCAGTTCACAAGCAACTGTCTGAGTTTTCCGATCCTTCTGCCTTTAGGTGCCGATCCACTGTCTAGCCGTGAGATGGGTGTGGTGGAGAATTCTGGGGTGCTGTGCTGCATCCTGGTTTAACATCCAGCCTCTGTGACCTTAATATATACGGAGACTCTTGTCTTCAGGATGGGGAAGGGAGGCCCTAATCTCCGAGCCAAAGTTAAAAGCACATAGTGACGTTTAACTGTGTTCTTAAAATGGGCAAAATTGATTTGAAACAAAGCATAAAGTGAGGCCACCCTGGGGCACTGAAAGTCTCTGAGCTGGCCTAACATCTGCATGCTTTATTTTCTAATAGTGTCCTGGAGTGCATTAAATTATTTCTATTTTGGCATGGGAAAATAGCAAAGTGAGACGAAGGGAAAAAAGAGAAAATGGGAAAAGACTCCAAAGAAAGAGATATGAGTTGTGAAAGGGATGGACTGTGAGATAAAAGCAAAGCTCAGCTGTTGCTGGAAGGACTTTGGGAATATCCCACAGGGAGTAATGCTGACTAGTGCCGGCGGTGGAGAGTGTGCTGCGGGCAGGGACCCTGCGTAAGCCTGTGTCTCCCTGTCTTGCAGGTGGTGCCGGGGAGCGGGAGAAGGTGCCGGCCAACCCCGAGGCGCTCCTGCTCATGGCCAGCTCCCAGCGTGACATGGAGGACTGGGTGCAGGCCATCCGCCGAGTCATCTGGGCCCCGCTGGGCGGAGGTACTGCCCGTAGATCGCATGCCCACCCTCTAGAACCCTTGCCTCCAGGTAATCATGCCCCCTGCCTGTCCTGAGCCCCAAAGACCCTGCTCACTGAGGACTTGCTGGCTGCATCCTGTGCTTCTCACAGCAGGCTGGCCCTTCCACTGCCAGCCCTCGGGAGTCACCCAACGGCTGCCGTGTACTCACTTCCTCCTTTATTGAAAACTGTGTATTAGACATCTAAATGTACTGGATTCTATTCCAGGGGTGAGGAATTCATGAGGATAGGCCACACCTCCGCCTTCCCTCATCTCCATTCTCTGTGGGAGGGATGGTAGACAAGGACATGTGTCTCGTGGTGTCCAGGGGTGAGACATGTCACAAAGCCATTGAAGCTCAGTGAGAGGACGGCGGGGGTGTGGTTAGGTGGAGTGGCCAAGCAGGCTTAATGCAGCAACGGGGAGCCAGGGGCATGCTGGGGAAGAGCATTCCAGCAGAGACATGGACACGTGCGAAGGCCCCGAGGTAGGGACGAGCTTTGGGAACACGAGGCATGTCAGGAAGGCCGGGGCCCCGAGGGAGTGAAGACCAGGCGAGTGGGAGGGCCTGAGGTAAGAGTGGTCACCAAGGCCTTGGGGTCCTGGTGGGGATTTTTTATTTTGTTCTGTATACAGTGGGATACCAGGAGAGCTCAGAGCAGGAGACACACAGGACCTGAGTCAGATTTATGTAAAAGGTGCCCTGGCCACCACATGAGGAGTGGACCATAGAGGGACAGCAGTAGACACAGCAGGCCAGGAGAGTCCATGGGGTGGGCATGCAGCTGATGGTGCAAAGTGGCCAGCTGCAGGTGTATCCTTAAGGTGGAGCTGCCAGGTTTTGCCTATGGTCTGGACATGGGGTATGAGAGAAATGAAAGGTGACTCCCAGCCGTGCAGTCGCTATCTCTAGGTCGGTGTCCATATGAAGTGGTCATGAAAAGATCTTTCATAATGGGATCACCATGGCATTGGGGCCAGGGCCACCGACTCCCTGCTGAATGTGGAGACTGGGAGTCTGAAAGCTGGCTGGGCTCTGACCACACAAGCTATGGACGTCCTCTTTCTCCCTATGGTGTTTGATCAGCACACAGTCTGGGCAGGGACTCACCTTTTGGGGCTCTGGGCCAGTCTCCAGATTTCACAAGCCACATGGGCTGAGCCCCTTCCTTTGCTCCTCTGTTTGCCCACTCTCCTCTCCCACCCCTGGCTATGGTCTACCTGACCACCTTTCATTGAATGATAAATCCCTCACAAGGAAGAGTCAATATAATGTTGAGAGTGAAAGTTGTTCTCTCAGGCTTCATGAATGATATCACACTGTCAGCCTTGGTCTCCTTGATCCCTGAAGGTTGCAGCACATTTGACTTAGGGCCCTAGATTAATGGCCTGGAAAGGTCTGAGCCCACCCAGGGATTTCTGCAGCCTCACAGTGGCTTTGGTTCCAGGTTGCTGAAAGTGAACCAGTGGAACAGAATAGAGCCCAGAAGCAGAATCTTACATAGTTGGACTTTGATGTATGACAGGTGGCACTTTTGAGCACCAGGGAAGGAACATTATCATAATCTTGGGGTAGAGAAAGAATTTTTAAATGAGTTACAAAAAAACACTAATCTATTATGAAATTGTTGATAAATTATATTTTATAAAATGAAGAGCATCTGTTTGTAAAAGGTAGATTAAGAAAATGAAAAGATAAGCTATACATTGGGTGAAGGCGTTTGCAACACATGTGGTCATCAAATTACTCACTCCCCAAACTCCTACAAATGAATGAGGCAAAAACAGACAAGGCAGCAGAAGCGTGGGCAAGAGACTTGGACAGCCATTTCCTAAAATAAGAAATCCTCATGACCAGTGAACATAGGCTCCTGCGCACAACCTCATCAGTAATCAGGGAATTGCAAATTAAATCACAATGGGATACTTGTATGCACCCACCAGAATGACTAAATGACTGAATGAAAAAGACAGTTTCAAGTCGTGATGAGGATAGAAAGCTATAGAAACTTGCACATATTGCTAGGGAAATCAGCAGTGTCTGCTGAAGTTGATGCTGTGCACACCTGTGTCCCAGCAATTCCATATGAAGCATGTCCTACATAGAAATGTGTGTACAGGTATGCCAGGAGACTTGGATACATGGGATGTTCATGGCAGCCTTATTGATGATAGCCTGACACTAACCCAAGTGCCCAGCAACAATACAATGGATAAATAACTATGACTCAGTCTTACAGTGGGAAACTCCACAACAATGGGAATGAATCCACTACAGTGCCACCTACATGCATGAATCTTAAAAACAATGTGGAACTAAACCCAAACAAACAAAATAACATGTTGTATTATCTACCTATATAAAGTTGAAACACAGGGCAGAAGTAAACTTGTTATTTATAGATAGATAGGCAACAGAATATAAAGAAAAGCAAAGAAATGAATGCTATGAAAGTCAGGATAGTAGGGAGGAGGGAAGAGGTTAAGATGGGATGGGAGAGGGGCATACATATCTTAAATGTTCTCTAGCTTGGCTTGGGTAGTTACACAGGTGTTCCTTTTACAATGACATGTTTATCTGCATATTTATGCTTTAAGTGCTTTTCTAGATGTGTGCATATAAAAAATAAATGAAACAAAGGGAGAAACTTGGGTCAAAGAAGTGAGATGACTTGCCCAAGATGACACAGCCAGCAAGGGGGCAGAACTGAGAAGTGGAGGTGGATGTTCTGGCCTCAAAGACTGTGCTTGGTCCTGGCCCAAATAGCCCGTCCAAGAGCTGCACCAAGACCTGCACCCAGCAGGCCTGGCTCCCCGGCCACATGTCCATCTCCCTCTGTGCTTGCCCAGAATTGGGGATCTTTGGCAGAATCCCACATAGACCCTAGACTGACCCCTTCCCCAGGCCTGGCATTTATCTGCCTTCCCAGGCTGTGTGCTGAAGAACTCACAACCATTAAAACAGGAACTGCCATCAAAGGCGCTTATCTCCTTTCTCCCGGGAGTACAGAGGAAATGCAGAAATCTCAGGAGTTAGCGATGCCAGACGTGTCTGGGCATGCATGGTGCTGGCAGGTGGGCTCAGTCGGCCCCTGAAGGTTTTCTGGCAGAGCTGTTATTAGCTTGCATCCCCTGGGAAGGAGGCTTAGAGGATCAGTCCTTTTTTGACTGTTTTGTAACAGAGCCC